>NC_000002.12:94014845-94090557 GCF_000001405.40 Homo sapiens | reverse complement strand
GCTGTCTGCTTTTTATATGTAATCCCGTTTCCAACGAAATCCTCAAAGCTAGACAAATATCCACTTGCAGATTCCACAAAAAGAGTGTTTCAAAACTGCTCTATCAAAAGAAAGCTTCAACACTGTTAGTTGAGGGGGCACATCACAAATAAGTTTCTGAGAATGCTTCTGTCTAGTTTTCAGGGGAAGATATTTCCTTTTAAACCATAGGCCTGAAAGCGCTCCAAATGTCCACATCCAGATACTACAAAAAGAGTGTTTCAAACCTGCTCTATGAAAGGGACTGTTCAACACTGTGACTTCAATTGAAACATCCCAATGAAGCTTCTGAGAATGCTTCTGTCTAGAGTTTATATGAAGACAATCCCGTTTCCAATGAAATCCTCAAAGCTATCCAAATATCCTCTTGCAGATTTTACGAAAAGAGTGTTTCAAAACTGCTCTATCAAAAGAAAGCTTCAACACTGTTAGTTGAGGGCGCACATCACAAATAAGATTCTGAGAATGCTTCTGTCTAGTTTTCAGGAGAACATATTTCCCTTTTCACCATAGGCCTGAAAGAGCTCCAAATGTCCACATCCAGATACTATAAAAAGAGTGTTTCAAACCTGCTCTCTGAAAGGGAATGTTCAACTCTGTGACTTGAATGCAAACATCACAAAGAAGATTCTGGGAATGCTGCTGTCTGCTTTTTATATGTAAACCCGTTTCCAACGAAATCCTCAAAGCTAGACAAATATCCACTTGCAGATTCCCCAAAAAGAGTGTTTCAAAACTGCTCTCTCAAAGGAAAGGTTCAACTCTGTTAGCTGAGTAGATACATCATGAAAAAGTTTCTGACATTGCTTCTATCTAGCTTTTATTGGAAGATATTTCCTTTTTCACCGTAGTCCTGAGAGCGCTCCAAATCTCCACTTCCAGATATTACAAAAAGAGTGTTTCAAACCTGCTCTACGATAGGGACTGTTCAACACTGTGACTTTAATTGAAACATCCCAATGAAGCTTTCTGAGAATGCTTGTCTTTCTAGAGTTTATATGAAGACAATCCCGTTTCCAACGAAATCCTCAAAGCTATCCAAATATTCTCTTGCAGATATTACAAAAAGAGTGTTTCAAAACTGCTCTATCAAAATAAAGCTTCAACACTGTTAGTTGAGGGCGCACATCACAAATAAGTTTCTGAGAATGCTGCTGTCTGCTTTTTATGTGTAATCCCGTTTCAAACGAAATTCTCAAAGCTAGACAAATATCCACTTGCAGATTCCACAAAAAGAGTGTTTCAAAACTGCTCTATCAAAAGAAAGCTTCAACATTGTTAGTTGAGGGCGCACATCACAAATAAGTTTCTGAGAATGCTTCTGTCTAGTTTTCAGGGGAAGATATTTCCTTTTTCACCATAGGCCTGAAAGCGCTCGAAATGTCCACATCCAGATACTACAAAAAGAGTGTTTCAAACCTGCTCTATGAAAGGGACTGTTCAACACTGTGACTTCAATTGAAACATCCCAATGAAGCTTCTGAGAATGCTTCTGTCTACAGTTTATATGAAGACAATCCCGTTTCCAATGAAATCCTCAAAGCTATGCAAATATCCTCTTGCAGATTTTACAAAAAGAGTGTTTCAAAACTGCTCTATCAAAAGAAAGCTTCAACACTGTTAGTTGAGGGCGCACATCATAAATAAGATTCTGAGAATGCTTCTGTCTAGTTTTCAGGGGAAGATATTTCCTTTTTCACCTTAGGCCTGAAAGCGCTGCAAATGTCCACATCCAGATACTACAAAAAGAGTGTTTCAAACCTGCTCTATGAAAGGGAATGTTCAACTCTGTGACTTGAATGCAAACATCACAAAGAAGTTTTTGGGAATGCTGCTGTCTGCTTTTTATATGTAATCCCGTTTCCAACGAAATCCTCAATGCTAGACAAATATCCACTTGCAGATTCCACAAAAAGAGTGTTTCAAAACTGCTCTCTCAAAAGAAAGGTTCAACTCTGTTAGCTGAGTAGATACATCATGAAAAAGTTTCTGACATTGCTTCTATCTAGCTTTTATTGGAAGATATTTCCTTTATCCCCGTAGTCCTGAGAGCGCTCCAAATGTCCCCTTCCAGATACTACAAAAAGAGTGTTTGAAACCTGCTCTATGAAAGGGACTGTTCAACACTGTGACTTCAATTGAAACATCCCAATGAAGCTTCTGACAATGCTTCTTTCTAGAGTTTATATGAAGACAATCCCGTTTCCAACGAAATCCTCAAAGCTATCCAAATATTCTCTTGCAGATATTACAAAAAGAGTGTTTCAAAACTGCTCTATCAAAATAAAGCTTCAACACTGTTAGTTGAGGGCGCACATCACAAATAAGTTTCTGAGAATGCTGCTGTCTGCTTTTTATAAGTAATCCCGTTTCCAACGAAATCCTCAAAGCTATCCAAATATCCTCTTGCAGATATTACAAAAAGAGTGTTTCAAAACTGCTCTATCAAAAGAAAGGTTCAACACTGTTAGTTGAGGGCGCACATAACAAATAAGTTTCTGAGAATGCTTCTGTCTAGTTTTCAGGGGAAGATATTTCCTTTTAAACCATAGGCTTAAAGCGCTCCAAATGTCCACATCCAGATACTACAAAAAGAGTGTTTCAAACCTGCTCTATGAAAGGGACTGTTCAACACTGTGACTTCAATTGAAACATCCCAATGACGCTTCTGAGAATGCTTCTGTCTAGAGTTTATATGAAGACAATCCCGTTTCCAACGAAATCCTCAAAGCTATCCAAATATCCTCTTGCAGATATTACAAAAAGAGTGTTTCAAAACTGCTCTATCAAAAGAAAGCTTCAACACTGTTAGTTGAGGGCGCACATCACAAATAAGTTTCTGAGAATGCTTCTGTCTAGTTTTCAGGGGAAGATATTTCCTTTTTCACCTTAGGCCTGAAAGCGCTCTAAATGTCCACATCCAGAAACTACAAAAAGAGTGTTTCAAACCTGCTCTATGAAAGGGAATGTTCCACTCTGTGACTTGAATGCAAACATCACAAAGAAGTTTCTGGGAATGCTGCTGTCTGCTTTTTATATGTAATCCCGTTTCCAACGAAATCCTCAAAGCTAGACAAATATCCACTTGCAGATTCCACAAAAAGAGTGTTTCAAAACTGCTCTCTCAAAAGAAAGGTTCAACTCTTTTAGCTGAGTAGATACATCATGAAAAAGTTTCTGATATTGCTTCTATCTAGCTTTTATTGGAAGATATTTCCTTTTTCACCGTAGTCCTGAGAACGCTCCAAATGTCCACTTCCAGATGCTACAAAAAGAGTGTTTCAAACCTGCTCTATGAAAGGGACTGTTCAACACTGTGACTTCAATTGAAACATCCCAATGAAGCTTCTGAGAATGGTACTGCCTAGGGTTAATATGAAGACAATCCCGTTTCCAACGAAATCCTCAAAGCTATCCAAATATCCTCTTGCAGATTTTACAAAAAGAATGTTGCAAAACTGCTCTATCAAAAGAAAGCTTCAACACTGTTAGTTGAGGGCGCACATCACAAATAAGTTTCTGAGAATACTTCTGTCTAGTTTTCAGGAGAAGATATTTCCTTTTTCACCATAGGCCTGAAAGCGCTCCAAATGTCCACATCCAGATACTATAAAAAGAGTGTTTCAAACCTGCTCTCTGAAAGGGAATGTTCAACTCTGTGACTTGAATGCAAACATCACAAACAAGATTACTGGGAATGCTGCTGTCTGCTTTTTATATGTAATCCCGTTTCCAACGAAATCCTCAAAGCTAGACAAATATCCACTTGCAGATTCCACAAAACGAGTGTTTCAAAACTGCTCTCTCAAAGGAAGGTTCAACTCTGTTAGCTGAGTAGATACATCATGAAAAAGTTTCTGACATTGCTTCTATCTACCTTTTATTGGAAGATATTTCCTTTTTCACTGCAGTCCTGAGAGCGCTCCAAAGGTCCACTTCCAGATACTACAAAAAGAGTGTTTCAAACCTGCTCTATGAAAGGGACTGTTCAACACTGTGAATTCAATTGAAACATCCCAATGAAGCTTCTGAGAATGCTTCTGTCTAGAGTTTATATGAAGACAATCCCGTTTCCAACGAAATCCTCAAAGCTATCCAAATATCCTCTTGCAGATATTACAAAAAGAGTGTTTCAAAACTGCTCTATCAAAAGAAAGGTTCAACACTGTTAGTTGAGGGCGCACATCACAAATAAGTTTACTGAGAATGCTGCTGTCTGCTTTTCATATGTAATCCCGTTTCCAACGAAATCCTCAAAGCTAGACAAATATCCACTTGCAGATTCCACAAAAAGAGTGTTTCAAAACTGCTCTATCAAAAGAATGCTTCAACACTGTTAGTTGAGGGCGCACATCACAAATAAGTTTCTGAGAATGCTTCTGTCTAGTTTTCAGGGGAAGATATTTCCTTTTAAACCATAGGCCTGAAAGCGCTCCAAATGTCCACTTCCAGATACTACAAAAAGAGTGTTTCAAACCTGCTCTATGAAAGGGACTGTTCAACACTGTGACTTCAATTGAAACATCCCAATGAAGCTTCTGAGAATGCTTCTGTCTAGAGTTTATATGAAGACAATCCCGTTTCTAACGAAATCCTCAAAGCTATCCAAATATCCTCTTGCAGATTTTACACAAAGAGTGCTTCAAAACTGCCCTATCAAAAGAAAGGTTCAACACTGTTAGTTGAGGGCGCACATCACAAATAAGTTTCTGAGAATGCTTCTGTCTAGTTTTCAGGGGAAGATATTTCCTTTTTCACCATAGGCCTGAAAGCGCTCCAAATGTCCACATCCAGATACTACAAAAAGAGTGTTTCAAACCTGCTCTATGAAAGGGAATGTTCAACTCTGTGACTTGAATGCAAACATCACAAAGAAGTTTCTGGGAATGCTGCTGTCTGCTTTTTATATGTAATCCCGTTTCCAACGAACTCCTCAAAGCTAGACAAATATCCACTTGCAGATTCCACCAAAAGAGTGTTTCAAAACTGCTCTCTCAAAAGAAAGTTTCAACTCTGTTAGCTGAGTAGATACATCATGAAAATGTTTCTGACATTGCTTCTATCTAGCTTTTATTGGAAGATATTTCCTTTTTCACCGTAGTCCTGAGAGCGCTCCAAATGTCAACTTCCAGATACTACAAAAAGAGTGTTTCAAACCTGTTCTATGAAAGGAACTGTTCAACACTGTGACTTCAATTGAAACATACCAATGAAGCTTCTGAGAATGCTTCTGTCTAGAGTTTATATGAAGACAATCCCGTTTCCAACGAAATCCTCAAATCTATCCAAATATCCTCTTGCAGATATTACAAAAAGAGTGTTTCAAAACTGCTCTATCAAAAGAAAGCTTCAACACTGTTAGTTGAGGGCGCACATCACAAATAAGTTTCTGAGAATGCTTCTGTCTAGTTTTCAGGGGAAGATATTTCCTTTTTCACCATAGGCTTGAAAGCACTCCAAATGTCCACATCCAGATACTACAAAAAGAGTGTTTCAAACCTGCTCTATGAAAGGGAATGTTCAACTCTGTGACTTGAATGCAAACATCACAAAGAAGTTTCTGGGAATGCTGCTGTCTGCTTTTTATATGTAATCCCGTTTCCAACGAAATCCTCAAAGCTAGACAAATATCCACTTGCAGATTCCACAAAAAGAGTGTTTCAAAACTGCTCTCTCAAAAGAAAGGTTCAACTCTTTTAGCTGAGTAGATACATCATGAAAAACTTTCTCACATTTCTTCTATCTAGCTTTTATTGGAAGATATTTCCTTTATCACCGTATTCCTGAGATCTCTCCAAATGTCCACTTCCAGATACTACAAAAAGAGTGTTTCAAACCTGCTCTATGAAAGGGACTGTTCAACACTGTGACTTCAATTGAAACATCCCAATGAAGCTTCTGAGAATGCTTCTGTCTAGAGTTTATATGAAGACAATCCCGTTTCCAAAGAAATCCTCAAAGCTATCCAAATATCCTCTTGCAGATTTTACAAAAAGAGTGTTTCAAAACTGCTCTATCAAAAGAAAGCTTCAACACTGTTAGTTGAGGGCGCACATCACAAATAAGATTCTGAGAATGCTTCTGTCTAGTTTTCAGGGGAAGATATTTCCTTTTTCACCATAGGCCTGAAAGCGCTCCAAATGTCCACATCCAGATACTACAAAAAGAGTGTTTCAAACCTGCTCTATGAAAGGGAATGTTCAACTCTGTGACTTGAATGCAAACACCACGAAGAAGTTACTGGGAATGCTGCTGTCTGCTTTTTATATGTAATCCCGTTTCCAACGAAATCCTCAAAGCTAGACAATTATCCACTTGCAGATTCCACAAAAAGAGTGTTTCAAAACTGCTCTCTCAAAAGAAAGGTTCAACTCTGTTAGCTGAGTAGATACATCATGAAAAAGTTTCTGACATTGCTTCTATCTAGCTTTTATTGGAAGACATTTCCTTTTTCACCGTAGTCCTGAGAGCGCTCCAAATGTCAACTTCCAGATACTACAAAAAGAGTGTTTCAAACCTGCTCTATGAAAGGGACTGTTCAACACTGTGACTTCAACTGAAACATCCCAATGAAGCTTTCTGAGAATGCTTATGTCTAGAGTTTATATGAAGACAATCCCGTTTCCAACGAAATCCTGAAAGCTATCCAAATATCCTCTTGCAGATATTACAAAAAGAGTGTTTCAAAACTGCTCTATCAAAAGAAAGCTTCAACACTGTTAGTTGAGGGCGCCCATCACAAATAAGTTTCGGAGAATGCTTAGCTGTCTGCTTTTTATATGTAATCCCGTTTCCAACGAAATCCTCAAAGCTAGACAAATATCCACTTGCAGATTCCACAAAAAGAGTGTTTCAAAACTGCTCTATCAAAAGAATGCTTCAACACTGTTAGTTGAGGGCGCACATCACAAATAAGTTTCTGAGAATGCTTCTGTCCAGTTTTCAGGGGAAGATATTTCCTTTTAAACCATAGGCCTGAAAGCACTCCAAATGTCCACATCCAGATACTACAAAAAGAGTGTTTCAAACCTGCTCTATGAAAGGGACTGTTCAACACTGTGACTTCAATTGAAACATCCCAATGAAGCTTCTGAGAATGCTTCTGTCTAGAGTTTATATGAAGACAATCCCGTTTCCAACGAAATCCTCAAAGCTATCCAAATATCCTCTTGCAGATTTTACAAAAAGAGTGTTTCAAAACTGCTCTATCAAAAGAAAGCTTCAACACTGTTAGTTGAGGGCGCACATCACAAATAAGATTCTGAGAATGCTTCTGTCTAGTTTTCAGGGGAAGATATTTCCTTTTTCACCATAGGCCTGAAAGCGCTCCAAATGTCCACATCCAGATACTACAAAAAGAGTGTTTCAAACCTGCTCCATGAAACGGAATGTTCAACTCTGTGACTTGAATGCAAACATCACAAAGAAGTTTCTGGGAATGCTGCTGTCTGCTTTTTATATGTAATCCCGTTTCCAATGAAATCCTTAAAGCTAGACAAATATCCATTTGCAGATTCCACAAAAAGAGTGTTTCAAAACTGCTCTCTCAAAAGAAAGGTTCAACTCTGTTAGCTGAGTAGATACATGATGAAAATGTTTCTGACATTGCTTCTATGTAGCTTTTATTGGAAGATATTTCCTTTTTCACCATAGTCCTGAGAGCGCTCCAAATGTCCACTTCCAGATACTACAAAAAGAGTGTTTCAAACCTGTTCTATGAAAGGAACTGTTCAACACTGTGACTTCAATTGAAACATCCCAAAGAAGCTTCTGAGAATGCTTCTTTCTAGAGTTTATATGAAGACAATCCCGTTTCCAACGAAATCCTCAAAGCTATCCAAATATTCTCTTGCAGATATTACAAAAAGAGTGTTTCAAAACTGCTCTATCAAAATAAAGCTTCAACACTGTTAGTTGAGGGCGCACATCACAAATAAGTTTCTGAGAATGCTGCTGTCTGCTTTTTATATGTAATCCCGTTTCCAACGAAATCCTCAAAGCTAGACAAATATCCACTTCCAGATTCCACAAAAACAGTGTTTCAAAACTGCTCTATCAAAAGAATGCTTCAACACTGTTAGTTGAGGGCGCACATCACAAATAAGTTTCTGAGAATGCTTCTGTCTAGTTTTCAGGGGAAGATATTTCCTTTTTCACCATAGGCCTGAAAGCGCTCCAAATGTCCACATCCAGATACTACAAAAAGAGTGTTTCAAACCTGCTCTATGAAAGGGACTGTTCAACACTGTGACTTCAATTGAAACATCCCAATGAAGCTTCTGAGAATGCTTCTGTCTAGAGTTTATATGAAGTCAATCCCGTTTCCAACGAAATCCTCAAAGCTATCCAAATATCCTCTTGCAGATTTTACGAAAAGAGTGTTTCAAAACTGCTCTATCAAAAGAAAGCTTCAACACTGTTAGTTGAGGGTGCACATCACAAATAAGATTCTGAGAATGCTTCTGTCTAGTTTTCAGGGGAAGATATTTCCTTTTTCACCATAGGCCTGAAAGCGCTCCAAATGTCCACATCCAGATACTACAAAAAGAGTGTTTCAAGCCTGCTCTATGAAAGGGAATGTTCAACTCTGTGACTTGAATGCAAACATCACAAAGAAGTTTCTGGGAATGCAGCTGTCTGCTTTTTATATGTAATCCCGTTTCCAACGAAATCCTCAAAGCTAGACAAATATCCACTTGCAGATTCCACAAAAAGAGTGTTTCAAAACTGCTCTATCAAAAGTAAGCTTCAACACTGTTAGTTGAGGGCGCACATCACAAATAAGATTCTGAGAATGCTTCTGTCTAGTTTTCAGGGGAAGATATTTCCTTTTTCAACATAGGCCTGAAAGCGCTCCAAATGTCCACATCCAGATACTACAAAAAGAGTGTTTCAAGCCTGCTCTATGAAAGGGAATGTTCAACTCTGTGACTTGAATGCAAACATCACAAAGAAGTTTCTGGGAATGCAGCTGTCTGCTTTTTATATGTAATCCCGTTTCCAACGAAATCCTCAAAGCTAGACAAATATCCACTTCCAGATTCCACAAAAAGAGTGTTTCAAAACTGCTCTCTCAAAAGAAAGGTTCAACTCTGTTAGCTGAGTAGATACATCATGAAAAAGTTTCTGACATTGCTTCTATGTAGCTTTTATTGGAAGATATTTCCTTTTTCACCGTAGTCCTGAGAGCGCTCCAAATGTCCACTTCCAGATACTACAAAAAGAGTGTTTCAAACCTGTTCTATGAAAGGAACTGTTCAACACTGTGACTTCAATTGAAACATCCCAATGAAGCTTCTGAGAATGCTTCTGTCTAGAGTTTATATGAAGACAATCCCGTTTCCAACGAAATCCTCAAAGCTATCCAAATATCCTCTTGCAGATATTACAAAAAGAGTGTTTCAAAACTGCTCTATCAAAAGAAAGGTTCAACACTGTTAGTTGAGGGCGCACATCACAAATAAGTTTACTGAGAATGCTGCTGTCTGCTTTTTATATGTAATCCCGTTTCAAACGAAATTCTCAAAGCTAGACAAATATCCACTTGCAGATGCCACAAAAAGAGTGTTTCAAAACTGCTCTATCAAAAGAAAGCTTCAACACTGTTAGTTGAGGGCGCACATCACAAATAAGTTTCTGAGAATGCTTCTGTCTAGTTTTCAGGGGAAGATATTTCCTTTTTCACCTTAGGCCTGAAAGCGCTGCAAATGTCCACATCCAGACACTACAAAAAGAGTGTTTCAAACCTGCTCTATGAAAAGGAATGTTCAACTCTGTGACTTGAATGCAAACATCACAAAGAAGTTTCTGGGAATGCCTCTGTCTAGAGTTTATATGAAGACAATCCCGTTTCCAACGAAATCCTCAAAGCTATCCAAATATCCTCTTGCAGATTTTACAAAAAGAGTGTTTCAAAACTGCTCTATCAAAAGAAAGCTTCAACACTGTTAGTTGAGGGCGCACATCACAAATAAGATTCTGAGAACGCTTCTGTCTAGTTTTCAGGGGAAGATATTTCCTTTTTCACCATAGGCCTGAAAGCGCTCCAAATGTCCACATCCAGATACTACAAAAAGAGTGTTCCAAACCTGCTCTATGAAAGGGAATGTTCAACTCTGTGACTTGAATGCAAACATCACAAAGACGTTTCTGGGAATGCTGCTGTCTGCTTTTTATATGTAATACCGTTTCCAACGCAATCCTCAAAACTAGACAAATATCCACTTGCAGATTCCACAAAAAGAGTGTTTCAAAACTACTCTCTCCAAAGAAAGGTTCACCTCTGTTAGCTGAGTAGATACATCATGAAAAATTTTCTGACATTGCTTCTATCTAGCTTTTATTGGAAGATATTTCCTTTTTCACTGTAGTCCTGAGAACGCTCCAAATGTCCACTTCCAGATACTACAAAAAGAGTGTTTCAAACCTGCTCTATGAAAGGGACTGTTCAACACTGTGACTTCAATTGAAACATCCGAATGAAGCTTCTGAGAATGCTTCTGTCTAGAGTTTATATGAAGACAATCCCGTTTCCAACGAAATCCTCAAAGCTATCCAAATATCCTCTTGCAGATATTACAAAAAGAGTGTTTCAAAACTGCTCTATCAAAAGAAAGGTTCAACACTGTTAGTTGAGGGCGCACATCACAAATAAGTTTACTGAGAATGCTGCTGTCTGCTTTTTATATGTAATCCCGTTTCCAACGAAATCCTCAAAGCTAGACAAATATCCACTTGCAGATTCCACAAAAAGAGTGTTTCAAAACTGCTCTATCAAAAGAATGCTTCAACACCGTTAGTTGAGGGCGCACATCACAAATAAGTTTCTGAGAATGCTTCTGTCTAGTTTTCAGGGGAAGATATTTCCTTTTAAACCATAGGCCTCAAAGCGCTCCAAATGTCCACATCCAGATACTACAAAAAGAGTGTTTCAAACCTACTCTATGAAAGGGACTGTTCAACACTGTGACTTCAATTGAAACATCCCAATGAAGCTTCTGAGAATGCTTCTGTCTAGAGTTTATATGAAGACAATCCCGTTTCCAACGAAATCCTCAAAGCTATCCAAATATCCTCTTGCAGATATTACAAAAAGAGTGTTTCAAAACTGCTCTATCAAAAGAAAGCTTCAACACTGTTAGTTGAGGGCGCAGATCACAAATAAGTTTCTGAGAATGCTTCTGTCTAGTTTTCAGGGGAAGATATTTCCTTTTTCACCATAGGCCTGAAAGCGCTCCAAATGTCCACATCCAGATACTACAAAAAGAGTGTTTCAAACCTGCTCTATGAAAGGGAGTGTTCAACTCTGTGACTTGAATGCAAACATCACAAAGAAGTTACTGGGAATGCTGCTGTCTGCTTTTTATATGTAATCCCGTTTCCAACGAAATCCTCAAAGCTAGACAAATATCCACTTGCAGATTCCACAAAAAGAGTGTTTCAAAACTGCTCTCTCAAAAGAAAGGTTCAACTCTGTTTGCTGAGTAGATACATCATGAAAAAGTTTCTGACATTGCTTCTATCTAGCTTTTATTGGAAGATACTTCCTTTTTCACCGTAGTCCTGAGAGCGCTCCAAATGTCCACTTCCAGATACTACAAAAAGAGTGTTTCAAACCTGCTCTATGAAAGGGACTGTTCAACACTGTGACTTCAATTGAAACATCCCAATGAAGCTTCTGAGAATGCTTCTGCCTAGAGTTTATATGAAGACAATCCCGTTTCCAACGAAATCCTCAAAGCTATCCAAATATCCTCTTGCAGATTTTACAAAAAGAGTGTTTCAAAACTGCTCTATCAAAAGAAAGCTTCAACACTGTTAGTTGAGGGCGCACATCACAAATAAGATTCAGAGAATGCTGCTGTCTGCTTTTTATATGTAATCCCGTTTCCAACGAAATCCTCAAAGCTATCCAAATATCCTCTTGCAGATATTACAAAAAGAGTGTTTCAAAAGTGCTCTATCAAAAGAAAGGTTCAACACTGTTAGTTGAGGGTGCACATCACAAATAAGTTTCTGAGAATGCTTCTGTCTAGTTTTCAGGGGAAGATATTTCCTTTTTCACCATAGGCCTGAAAGCGCTCCAAATGTCCACATCCAGATACTACAAAAAGAGTGTTTCAAACCTGCTCTATGAAAGGGAATGTTCAACTCTGTGACTTGAATGCAAACATCACAAAGAAGTTAATGGGAATGCTTCTGTCTAGAGTTTATATGAAGACAATCCCGTTTCCAACGAAATCCTCAAAGCTATCCAAATATCCTCTTGCAGATTTTACAAAAAGAGTGTTTCAAAACTGCTCTATCAAAAGAAAGCTTCAACACTGTTAGTTGAGGGCGCACATCACAAATAAGTTTGCTGAGAATGCTTTCTGTCTAGTTTTCAGGGGAAGATATTTCCTTTTTCACCATAGGCCTGAAAGCGCTCCAAATGTCCACATCCAGATACTACAAAAAGAGTGTTTCAAACCTGCTCTATGAAAGGGAATGTTCAACTCTGTGACTTGAATGCAAACATCACAAAGAAGTTTCTGGGAATGCTGCTGTCTGCTTTTTATATGTAATCCCGTTTCCAACGAAATCCTCAAAGCTAGACAAATATCCACTTGCAGATCCCACAAAAAGAGTGTTTCAAAACTGCTCTCTCAAAGGAAGGTTCAACTCTGTTAGCTGAGTAGATACATCATGAAAAAGTTTCTGACATTGCTTCTATCTAGCTTTTATTGGAAGATATTTCCTTTTTCACCGTAGTCCTGAGAACGCTCCAAATGTCCACTTCCAGATGCTACAAAAAGAGTGTTTCAAAGCTGCTCTAAGAAAGGGACTGTTCAACACTGTGACTTCAATTGAAACATCCCAATGAAGCTGCTGAGAATGCTGCTGTCTGCTTTGTATAATTAATCCCGTTTCCAACGAAATCCTCAAAGCTATCCAAATATCCTCTTGCAGATATTACAAAAAGAGTGTTTCAAAACTGCTCTATCAAAAGAAAGCTTCAACACTGTTAGTTGAGGGCGCACATCACAAATAAGTTTCTGAGAATGCTGCTGTCTGCTTTTTATATGTAATCCCGTTTCCAACGAAATCCTCAAAGCTAGACAAATATCCACTTGCAGATTCCACAAAAAGAGTGTTTCAAAACTGCTCTATCAAAAGAATGCTTCAACACTGGTAGTTGAGGGCGCACATCACAAATAAGTTTCTGAGAATGCTTCTGTCTAGTTTTCAGGGGAAGATATTTCCTTTTTCACCATAGGCCTGAAAGCGCTCCAAATGTCCACATCCAGATACTACAAAAAGAGTGTTTCAAACCTGCTCTATGAAAGGGACTGTTCAACACTGTGACTTCAATTGAAACATCCCAATGAAGCTTCTGAGAATGCTTCTGTCTAGAGTTTATATGAAGACAATCCCGTTTCCAACGAAATCCTCAAAGCTATCCAAATATCCTCTTGCAGATATTACAAAAAGAGTGTTTCAAAACTGCTCTATCAAAAGAAAGCTTCAACACTGTTAGTTGAGGGCGCTAATCACAAATAAGATTCTGAGAATGCTTCTGTCTAGTTTTCAGGGGAAGATATTTCCTTTTTCACCATAGGCCTGAAAACGCTCCAAATGTCCACATCCAGATACTTCAAAAAGAGTCTTTCAAACCTGCTCTATGAAAGGGAATGTTCAACTCTCTGACTTGAATGCAAACATCACAAAGAAGTTACTGGGAATGCTGCTGTCTGCTTTTTCTATGTAACCCGTTTCCAACGAAATCCTCAAAGCTAGACAAATATCCACTTGCAGATTCCACAAAAAGAGTGTTTCAAAACTGCTCTCTCAAAGGAAGGTTCAACTCTGTTAGCTGAGTAGATACATCATGAAAAAGTTTCTGACATTGCTCTATGTAGCTTTTATTGGAAGATATTTCCTTTTTCACCGTAGTCCTGAGATCTCTCCAAATGTCCATTTCCAGGTACTACAAAAAGAGTGTTTCAAACCTGCTCTATGAAAGGGACTTTTCAACACTGTGACTTCAATTGAAACATCCCAATGAAGCTTCTGAGAATGCTTTCTGTCTAGATTCTATATGAAGACAATCCCGTTTCCAACGAAATCCTCAAAGCTATCCAAATATCCTCTTGCAGATTTTACAAAAAGAGTGTTTCAAAACTGCTCTATCAAAAGAAAAGTTCCACACTGTTAGTTGAGGGCGCACATCACAAATAAGTTTGCTGAGAATGCTGCTGTCTGCTTTTTATATGTAATCCCGTTTCCAACGAAATCCTCAAAGCTATCCAAATATCCTCTTGCAGATATTACAAAAAGAGTGTTTCAAAACTGCTCTATCAAAAGAAAGGTTCAACACTGTTAGTTGAGGGCGCACATCACAAATAAGTTTCTGAGAATGCTTCTGTCTAGTTTTCAGGGGAAGATATTTCCTTTTTCACCATAGGCCTGAAAGCGCTCCAAATGTCCACATCCAGATACTACAAACAGAGTGTTTCAAACCTGCTCTATGAAAGGGAATGTTCAATTCTGTGACTTGAATGCAAACATCACAAAGAAGTTACCTGGAATGCTGCTGTCTGCTTTTTATATGTAATCCCGTTTCCAACGAAATCCTCAAAGCTAGACAAATATCCACTTGCAGATTCCACAAAAAGAGTGTTTCAAAACTGCTCTCTCAA
Organism: Homo sapiens; assembly: GCF_000001405.40. NCBI lineage: Eukaryota > Metazoa > Chordata > Mammalia > Primates > Hominidae > Homo > Homo sapiens. The sequence continues at coordinate 94,075,840 of NC_000002.12, read as the reverse complement.
AGGAAAGGTTCAACTCTGTTAGCTGAGTAGATACATCATGAAAAAGTTTCTCACATTGCTTCTATCTAGCTTTTATTGGAAGATATTTCCTTTTTCACCGTAGTCCTGAGAGCGCTCCAACTGTCCACTTCCAGATGCTACAAAAAGAGTGTTTCAAACCTGCTCTATGAAAGGGACTGTTCAACACTGTGACTTCAATTGAAACATCCCAATGAAGCTTCTCAGAATGCTGCTGTCTGCTTTGTATAATTAATCCCGTTTCCAACGAAATCCTCAAAGCTATCCAAATATCCTCTTGCAGATATTACAAAAAGAGTGTTTCAAAACTGCTCTATCAAAAGAAAGCTTCAACACTGTTAGTTGAGGGCGCACATCACAAATAAGTTTCTGAGAATGCTGCTGTCTGCTTTGTATATGTAATCCCGTTTCCAACGAAATCCTCAAAGCTAGACAAATATCCACTTGCAGATTCCACAAAAAGAGTGTTTCAAAACTGCTCTATCAAAAGAAAGCTTCAACACTGTTAGTTGAGGGCGCACATCACAAATAAGATTCTGAGAATGCTTCTGTCTAGTTTTCAGGGGAAGATATTTCCTTTTAAACCATAGGCCTGAAAGCGCTCCAAATGTCCACATCCAGATACTACAAAAAGAGTGTTTGAAACCTGCTTTATGAAAGGGACTGTTCAACACTGTGACTTCAATTGAAACATCCCAATGAAGCTTCTGAGAATGCTTCTGTCTAGAGTTTATATGAAGACAATCCCGTTTCCAACGAAATCCTCAAAGCTATCCAAATATCCTCTTGCAGATTTTACAAAAAGAGTGTTTCAAAACTGCTCTATCAAAAGAAAGCTTCAACACTGTTAGTTGAGGGCGCACATCACAAATAAGATTCTGAGAATTCTTCTGTCTAGTTTTCAGGGGAAGATATTTCCTTTTTCACCATAGGCCTGAAAGCGCTCCAAATGTCCACATCCAGATACTACAAAAAGAGAGTTTCAAACCTGCTCTATGAAAGGGAATGTTCAACTCTGTGACTTGAATGAAAACATCACAAAGAAGTTACTGGGAATGCTGCTGTCTGCTTTTTATATGTAATCCCGTTTCCAACGAAATCCTCAAAGCTAGACAAATATCCACCTGCAGATTCCACAAAAAGAGTGTTTCAAAACTGCTCTCTCAAAAGAAAGGTTCAATTCTGTTAGCTGAGTAGATACCTCATGAAAAATTTTCTGACATTGCTTCTATCTAGCTTTTATTGGAAGATATTTCCTTTTTCACCGTAGTCCTGAGAGCGCTCCAAATGTCCACTTCCAGATACTACAAAATGAGTTTTTCAAACCTGCTCTATGAAAGGGACTGTTCAACACTGTGACTTCAATTGAAACATCCCAATGAAGCTTCTGAGAATGCTGCTGTCTGCTTTGTATAATTAATCCCGTTTCCAACGAAATCCTCAAAGCTATCCAAATATCCTCTTGCAGATATTACAAAAAGAGTGTTTCAAAACTGCTCTATCAAAAGAAAGCTTCAACACTGTTAGTTGAGGGCGCACATCACAAATAAGTTTCTGAGAATGCTGCTGTCTGCTTTTTATATGTAATCCCGTTTCCAACGAAATCCTCAAAGCTAGACAAATATCCACTTGCAGATTCCACAAAAAGAGTGTTTCAAAACTGCTCTATCAAAAGAATGCTTCAACACTGTTAGTTGAGGGCGCACATCACAAATAAGTTTCTGAGAATGCTTCTGTCTAGTTTTCAGAGGAAGATATTTCCTTTTTCACCATAGGCCTGAAAGCGCTCCAAATGTCCACATCCAGATACTACAAAAAGAGTGTTTCAAACCTGCTCTATGAAAGGGACTGTTCAACACTGTGACTTCAATTGAAACATCCCAATGAGGCTTCTGTGAATGCTTCTGTCTAGAGTTTATATGAAGACAATCCCGTTTCCAACGAAATCCTCAAAGCTATCCAAATATCCTCTTGCAGATTTTACAAAAAGAGTGTTTCAAAACTGCTCTATCAAAAGAATGCTTCAACACTGTTAGTTGAGGGCGCACATCACAAATAAGTTTCTGAGAATGCTTCTGTCTAGTTTTCAGGGGAAGATATTTCCTTTTTCACCTTAGGCCTGAAAGCGCTCCAAATGTCCACATCCAGATACTACAAAAAGAGTGTTTCAAACCTGCTCTATGAAAGGGAATGTTCAACTCTGTGACTTGAATGCAAACATCACAAAGAAGTTTCTGGGAATGCTGCTGTCTGCTTTTTATATGTAATCCCGTTTCCAACGAAATCCTCAAAGCTAGAGAAATATCCACTTGCAGATTCCACAAAAAGAGTGTTTCAAAACTGCTCTCTCAAAAGAAAGGTTCAACTCTGTTAGCTGAGTAGATACATCATGAAAAAGTTTCTGACATTGCTTCTATCTAGCTTTTATTGGAAGATATTTCCTTTATCACCGTATTCCTGTGATCTCTCAAAATGTCCACATCCAGATACTACAAAAAGAGTGTTTCAAACCTGCTCTATGAAAGGGAATGTTCAACTCTGTCACTTGAATGCAAACCTCACAAAGAAGTTACTGGGAATGCTTCTGTCTAGAGTTTATATGAAGACAATCCCGTTTCCAACGAAATCCTCAAAGCTATCCAAATATCCTCTTGCAGATATTACAAAAAGAGTGTTTCAAAACTGCTCTATCAAAAGAAAGGTTCAACACTGTTAGTTGAGGGCGCACATCACAAATAAGTTTACTGAGAATGCTGCTGTCTGCTTTTTATATGTAATCCCGTTTCCAACGAAATCCTCAAAGCTAGACAAATATCCACTTGCAGATTCCACAAAAAGAGTGTTTCAAAACTGCTCTATCAAAAGAAAGCTTCAACACTGTTAGTTGAGGGCGCACATCACAAATAAGTTTCTGAGAATGCTTCTGTCTAGTTTTCAGGGGAAGATATTTCCTTTTAAACCATAGGCCTGAAAGCGCTCCAAATGTCCACATCCAGATACTACAAAAAGAGTGTTTCAAACCTGCTCTATGAAAGGGACTGTTCAACACTGTGACTTCAATTGAAACATCCCAATGACGCTTCTGAGAATGCTACTGTCTAGGGTTAATATGAAGACAATCCCGTTTCCAACGAAATCCTCAAACCTATCCAAATATCCTCTTGCAGATTTTACAAAAAGAATGTTTCAAAACTGCTCTATCAAAAGAAAGCTTCAACACTGTTAGTTGAGGGCGCACATCACAAATAAGTTTCTGAGAATACTTCTGTCTAGTTTTCAGGGAAAGATATTTCCTTTTTCACCATAGGCCTGAAAGCGCTCCAAATGTCCAAATCCAGATACTACAAAAAGAGTGTTTCAAACCTGCTCTATGAAACGGAATGTTCAACTCTGTGACTTGAATGCAAACATCACAAAGAAGTTTCTGGGAATGCTGCTGCCTGCTTTTTATATGTAATCCCGTTTCCAACGAAATCCTCAAAGGTAGATAAATATCCACTTGCAGATTCCACAAAAAGAGTGTTTCAAAACTGCTCTCTCAAAAGAAAGGTTCAACTCTGTTAGCTGAGTAGATACATCATGAAAAAGTTTCTGACATTGCTTCTATGTAGCTTTTATTGGAAGATATTTCCTTTTTCACCGTAGTCCTGAGAGCGCTCCAAATGTCCACTTCCAGATACAACAAAAAGAGTGTTTCAAACCTGCTCTATGAAAGGGACTGTTCAACACTGTGAGTTCAATTGAAACATCCCAATGAAGCTTCTGAGAATGCTGCTGTCTGCTTTGTATAATTAATCCCGTTTCCAACGAAATCCTCAAAGCTATCCAAATATCCTCTTGCAGATATTACAAAAAGAGTGTTTCAAAACTGCTCTATCAAAAGAAAGCTTCAACACTGTTAGTTGAGGGCGCACATCACAAATAAGTTTCTGAGAATGCTGCTGTCTGCTTTTTATATGTAATCCCGTTTCCAACGAAATCCTCAAAACTAGACAAATATCCACTTGCAGATTCCACAAAAAGAGTGTTTCAAAACTGCTCTATCAAAAGAAAGCTTCAACACTGTTAGTTGAGGGTGCACATCACAAATAAGATTCTGAGAATGCTTCTGTCTAGTTTTCAGGGGAAGATATTTCCTTTTTCACCATAGGCCTGAAAGCGCTCCAAATGTCCACATCCAGATACTACAAAAAGAGTGTTTCAAACCTGCTCTATGAAAGGGACTGTTCAACACTGTGACTTCAATTGAAACATCCCAATGAAGCTTCTGAGAATGCTTCTGTCTAGAGTTTATATGAAGACAATCCCGTTTCCAACGAAATTCTCAAAGCTATCCAAATATCCTCTTGCAGATTTTACAAAAAGAGTGTTTCAAAACTGCTCTATCAAAAGAAAGCTTCAACACTGTTAGTTGAGGGCGCACATCACAAATAAGATTCTGAGAATGCTTCTGTCTAGTTTTCAGGGGAAGATATTTCCTTTTTCACCTTAGGCCTGAAAGCGCTGCAAATGTCCACATCCAGATACTACAAAAACAGTGTTTCAAACCTGCTCTATGAAAGGGAATGTTCAACTCTGTGACTTGAATGCAAACTTCACAAAGAAGTTTCTGGGAATGCTGCTGTCTGCTTTTTATATGTAATCCCGTTTCCAACGAAATCCTCAAAGCTAGACAAATATCCACTTGCAGATTCCACAAAAAGAGTGTTTCAAAACTGCTCTCTCAAAAGAAAGGTTCAACTCTGTTAGCTGAGTAGATACATCATGAAAAAGTTTCTGACATTGCTTCTATGTAGCTTTTATTGGAAGATATTTCCGTTTTCACCGTAGTCCTGAGAGCGCTCCAAATGTCCACTTCCAGATACTACAAAAAGAGTGTTTCAAACCTGCTCTATGAAAGGGACTGTTCAACACTGTGACTTCAATTGAAACATCCCAATGAAGCTTCTGAGAATGCTTCTGTCTAGATTCTATATGAAGACAATCCCGTTTCCAACGAAATCCTCAAAGCTATCCAAATATCCTCTTGCAGATTTTACAAAAAGAGTGTTTCAAAACTGCTCTATCAAAAGAAAAGTTCCACACTGTTAGTTGAGGGCGCACATCACAAATAAGTTTGCTGAGAATGCTGCTGTCTGCTTTTTATATGTAATCCCGTTTCCAACGAAATCCTCAAAGCTAGACAAATATCCACTTGCAGATTCCACAAAAAGAGTGTTTCAAAACTGCTCTATCAAAAGAAAGCTTCAACACTGTTAGTTGAGGGCGCACATCACAAATAAGTTTCTGAGAATGCTTCTGTCTAGTTTTCAGGGGAAGATATTTCCTTTTTCACCATAGGCCTGAAAGCGCTCCAAATGACCACATCCAGATACTACAAAAAGAGTGTTTCAAACCTGCTCTATGAAAGGGACTGTTCAACACTGTGACTTCAATTGAAACATCCCAATGAAGCTTCTGAGAATGCTTCTGTCTAGATTGTATATGAAGACAATCCCGTTTCCAACGAAATCCTCAAAGCTATCCAAATATCCTCTTGCAGATTTTACAAAAAGAGTGTTTCAAAACTGCTCTATCAAAAGAAAGCTTCAACACTGTTAGTTGAGGGCGCACATCACAAATAAGTTTCTGAGAATGCTTCTGTCTAGTTTTCAGGGGAAGATATTTCCTTTTTCACCTTAGGCCTGAAAGCGCTCCAAATGTCCATATCCAGATACTACAAAAAGAGTGTTTCAAACCTGCTCTATGAAAGGGAATGTTCAACTCTGTGACTTGAATGCTAACTTCACAAAGAAGTTTCTGGGAATGCTGCTGTCTGCTTTTTATATGTAATCCCGTTTCCAACGAAATCCTCAAAGCTAGACAAATATCCACTTGCAGATTCCACAAAAAGAGTGTTTCAAAACTGCTCTCTCAAAAGAAAGGTTCAACTCTGTTAGCTGAGTAGATACATCATGAAAAAGTTTCTGACATTGCTTCTATCTAGCTTTTATTGGAAGATATTTCCTTTTTCACCGCAGTCCTGAGAGCGTTCCAAATGTCCACTTCCAGATACTACAAAAAGAGTGTTTCAAACCTGCTCTATGAAAGGGACTGTTCAACACTGTGACTTCAATTGAAACATCCCAATGAAGCTTCTGAGAATGCTGCTGTCTGCTTTGTATAATTAATCCCGTTTCCAACGAAATCCTCAAAGCTATCCAAATATCCTCTTGCAGATATTACAAAAAGAGTGTTTCAAAACTGCTCTATCAAAAGAAAGCTTCAACACTGTTAGTTGAGGGCGCACATCACAAATAAGTTTCTGAGAATGCTGCTGTCTGCTTTTTATATGTAATCCCGTTTCCAACGAAATCCTCAAAGCTAGACAAATATCCACTTGCAGATTCCACAAAAAGAGTGTTTCAAAACTGCTCTATCAAAAGAAAGCTTCAACACTGTTAGTTGAGGGCGCACATCACAAATAAGTTTCTGAGAATGCTTCTGTCTAGTTTTCAGGGGAAGATATTTCCTTTTAAACCATAGGCCTGAAAGCGCTCCAAATGTCCACATCCAGATACTACAAAAAGAGTGTTTCAAACCTGCTCTATGAAAGGGACTGTTCAACACTGTGACTTCAATTGAAACATCCCAATGAAGCTTCTGAGAATGCTTCTGTCTAGAGTTTATATGAAGACAATCCCGTTTCCAACGAAATCCTCAAAGCTATCCAAATATCCTCTTGCAGATATTACAAAAAGAGTGTTTCAAAACTGCTCTATCAAAAGAAAGCTTCAACACTGTTAGTTGAGGGCGCACATCACAAATAAGTTTCTGAGAATGCTTCTGTCTAGTTTTCAGGAGAAGATATTTCCTTTTTCACCATAGGCCTGAAAGCGCTCCAAATGTCCACATCCAGATACTATAAAAAGAGTGTTTCAAACCTGCTCTCTGAAAGGGAATGTTCAACTCTGTGACTTGAATGCAAACATCACAAACAAGATTCTGGGAATGCTGCTGTCTGCTTTTTATATGTAATCCCGTTTCCAACGAAATCCTCAAAGCTAGACAAATATCCACTTGCAGATTCCACAAAAAGAGTGTTTCAAAACTGCTCTCTCAAAAGAAAGGTTCAACTCTGTTAGCTGAGTAGATACATCATGAAATAGTTTCTGACATTGCTTCTACCTAGCTTTTATTGGAAGATACTTCCTTTTTCACCGTAGTCCTGAGAGCGCTCCAAATGTCCACTTACAGATACTACAAAAAGAGTGTTTCAAACCTGCTCTATGAAAGGGACTGTTCAACACTGTGACTTCAATTGAAACATCCCAATGAAGCTTCTGAGAATGCTTCTGTCTAGATTCTATATGAAGACAATCCCGTTTCCAACGAAATCCTCAAAGCTATCCAAATATCCTCTTGCAGATTTTACAAAAAGAGTGTTTCAAAACTGCTCTATCAAAAGAAAAGTTCCACACTGTTAGTTGAGGGCGCACATCACAAATAAGTTTGCTGAGAATGCTGCTGTCTGCTTTTTATATGTAATCCCGTTTCCAACGAAATCCTCAAAGCTAGACAAATATCCACTTGCAGATTCCACAAAAAGAGTGTTTCAAAACTGCTCTATCAAAAGAATGCTTCAACACTGTTAGTTGAGGGCGCACATCACAAATAAGTTTCTGAGAATGCTTCTGTCTAGTTTTCAGGGGAAGATATTTCCTTTTAAACCTTAGGCCTGAAAGCGCTCCAAATGTCCACATCCAGATACTACAAAAAGAGTGTTTCAAACGTGCTCTATGAAAGGGACTGTTCAACACTGTGACTTCAATTGAAACATCCCAATGAAGCTTCTGAGAATGCTTCTGTCTAGAGTTTATATGAAGACAATCCCGTTTCCAACGAAATCCTCAAAGCTATCCAAATATCCTCTTGCAGATTTTACAAAAAGAGTATTTCAAAACTGCTCTATCAAAAGAAAGCTTCAACACTGTTAGTTGAGGGCGCACATCACAAATAAGATTCTGAGAATGCTTCTGTGTAGTTTTCAGGGGAAGATATTTCCTTTTTCACCATAGGCCTGAAAGCGCTCCAAATGTCCACATCCAGATACTACAAAAAGAGTGTTTCAAACCTGCTCTATGAAAGGGAATGTTCAACTCTGTGAATTGAATGCAAACATCACAAAGAAGTTTCTCGGAATGCTGCTGTCTGCTTTTTATATGTAATCTCGTTTCCAACGAAATCCTCAAAGCTAGACAAATATCCACTTGCAGATTCCACAAAAAGAGTGTTTCAAAACTGCTCTCTCAAAGGAAGGTTCAACTCTGTTAGCTGAGTAGATACATCATGAAAAAGTTTCTGACATTGCTTCTATCTAGCTTTTATTGGAAGATAATTCCTTTTTCACCGCAGTCCTGAGAGCGCTCCAAATGTCCACTTCCAGATACTACCAAAAGAGTGTTTCAAACCTGCTCTATGAAAGGGACTGTTCAACACTGTGACTTCAGTTGAAACATCCCAATGAAGCCTTTGAGAATGCTTCTGTCCAGATTTTATATGAAGACAATCCCGTTTCCAACGAAATCCTCAAAGCTATCCAAATATCCTCTTGCAGATTTTACAAAAAGAGTGTTTCAAAACTGCTCTATCAAAAGAAAGTTTCAACACTGCTAGTTGAGGGCGCACATCACAAATAAGATTCTGAGAATGCTTGCTGTCTGCTTTTTATAATTAATCCCGTTTCCAACGAAATCCTCAAAGCTATCCAAATATCCTCTTGCAGATATTACAAAAAGAGTGTTTCAAAACTGCTCTATCAAAAGAAAGGTTCAACACTGTTAGTTGAGGGCGCACATCACAAATAAGTTTCTGAGAATGCTTCTGTCTAGTTTTCAGGGGAAGATATTTCCTTTTTCACCATAGGCCTGAAAGCGCTCCAAATGTCCACATCCAGATACTACAAAAAGAGTGTTTCAAACCTGCTCTATGAAAGGGACTGTTCAACACTGTGACTTCAATTGAAACATCCCAATGAAGCTTCTGAGAATGCTTCTGTCTAGAGTTTATATGAAGACAATCCCGTTTCCAACGAAATCCTCAAAGCTATCCAAATATCCTCTTGCAGATTTTACAAAAAGAGTGTTTCAAAACTGCTCTATCAAAAGAAAGCTTCAACACTGTTAGTTGAGGTCGCACATCACAAATAAGTTTCTGAGAATGCTTCTGTCTAGTTTTCAGGGGAAGATATTTCCTTTTTCACCATAGGCCTGAAAGCGCTCCAAATGTCCACATCCAGATACTACAAAAAGAGTGTTTCAAACCTGCTCTATGAAAGGGAATGTTCAACTCTGTGACTTGAATGCAAACATCACAAAGAAGTTTCTGGGAATGCTGCTGTCTGCTTTTTATATGTAATCCCGTTTCCAACGAAATCCTCAAAGCTAGACAAATATCCACTTGCAGATTCCACAAAAAGAGTGTTTCCCAACTGCTCTCTCAAAGGAAAGGGTCAACTCTGTTAGTTGAGTAGATACATCATGAAAAAGTTTCTGACATTGCTTCTATGTAGCTTTTATTGGAAGATATTTCCTTTTTCACCGTAGTCCTGAGAGCGCTCCAAATGTCCACTTCCAGATACTAGAAAAAGAGTGTTTCAAACCTGTTCTCTGAAAGGAACTGTTCAACATGTGACTTCAATTGAAACATCCCAATGAAGCTTCTGAGAATGCTTCTGTCTAGAGTTTATATGAAGACAATCCCGTTTCCAACGAAATCCTCAAAGCTATCCAAATATCCTCTTGCAGATATTACAAAAAGAGTGTTTCAAAACTGCTCTATCAAAAGAAAGGTTCAACACTGTTAGTTGAGGGCGCACATCACAAATAAGTTTACTGAGAATGCTGCTGTCTGCTTTTTATAATTAATCCCGTTTCCAACGAAATCCTCAAAGCTATCCAAATATCCTCTTGCAGATATTACAAAAAGAGTGTTTCAAAACTGCTCTATCAAAAGAAAGCTTCAACACTGTTAGTTGAGGGCGCACATCACAAATAAGTTTCTGAGAATGCTTCTGTCTAGTTTTCAGGGGAAGATATTTCCTTTTAAACCATAGGCCTGAAAGCGCTCCAAATGTCCACATCCAGATACTACAAAAAGAGTGTTTCAAACCTGCTCTATGAAAGGGACTTTTCAACACTGTGACTTCAATTGAAACATCCCAATGACGCTTCTGAGAATGCTTCTGTCTAGAGTTTATATGAAGACAATCCCGTTTCCAACGAAATCCTGAAAGCTATCCAAATATCCTCTTGCAGATATTACAAAAAGAGTGTTTCAAAACTGCTCTATCAAAAGAAAGCTTCAACACTGTTAGTTGAGGGCGCACATCACAAATAAGTTTCTGAGAATGCTTCTGTCTAGTTTTCAGGGGAAGATATTTCCTTTTTCACCATAGGCCTGAAAGCGCTCCAAATGTCCACATCCAGATACTACAAAAAGAGTGTTTCAAACCTGCTCTATGAAAGGGAATGTTCAACTCTGTGACTTGAATGCAAACATCACAAAGAAGTTTCTGGGAATGCTGCTGTCTGCTTTTTATATGTAATCCCGTTTCCAACGAAATCCTCAAAGCTAGACAAATATCCACTTGCAGATTCCACAAAAAGAGTGTTTCAAAACTGCTCTCTCAAAAGAAAGGTTCAACTCTGTTAGCTGAGTAGATACATCATGAAAAAGTTTCTGACTTTGCTCTATCTAGCTTTATTTGGAAGATATTTCCTTTTTCACCGTAGTCCTGAGAACGCTCCAAATGTCCACTTCCAGATGCTACAAAAAGATTGTTTCAAACATGCTCTATGAAAGGGACTGTTCAACACTGTGACTTCAATTGAAACATCCCAATGAAGCTTCTCAGAATGCTAGCTGTCTGCTTTGTATAATTAATCCCGTTTCCAACGAAATCCTCAAAGCTATCCAAATATCCTCTTGCAGATATTACAAAAAGAGTGTTTCAAAACTGCTCTATCAAAAGAAAGCTTCAACACTGTTAGTTGAGGGCGCACATCACAAATAAGTTTCTGAGAATGCTGCTGTCTGCTTTTTATTTGTAATCCCGTTTCCAACGAAATCCTCAATGCTAGACAAATATCGACTTGCAGATTCCAGAAAAAGAGTGTTTCAAAATTGCTCTTTCAAAACGATGGTTCAATTCTGTTAGTTGAGTACACACATCACAAATAAGTTTCAGAGAATGCTTCTGTCTAGTTTTCAGGGGAAGATATTTCCTTTTAAACCATAGGCCTGAAAGCGCTCCAAATGTCCACATCCAGATACTACAAAAAGAGTGTTTGAAACCTGCTCTATGAAAGGGACTGCTCAACGCTGTAACTTCAATTGAAACATCCCAATGAAGCTTCTGAGAATGCTTCTGTCTAGAGTTTATATGAAGACAATCCCGTTTCCAACGAAATCCTCAAAGCTATCCAAATATCCTCTTGCAGATTTTACAAAAAGAGTGTTTCAAAACTGCTCTATCAAAAGAAAGCTTCAACACTGTTAGTTGAGGGCGCACATCACAAATAAGATTCTGAGAATGCTTCTCTCTAGTTTTCAGGGGAAGATATTTCCTTTTTCACCATAGGCCTGAAAGCGCTCCAAATGTCCACATACAGATACTACAAAAAGAGGGTTTCAAACCTGCTCTATGAAAGGGAATGTTCAACTCTGTGACTTGAATGCAAACTTCACAAAGAAGTTTCTGGGAATGCTGCTGTCTGCTTTTTATATGTAATCCCGTTTCCAACGAAATCCTCAAAGCTAGACAAATATCCACTTGCAGATTCCACAAAAAGAGTGTTTCAAAACTGCTCTCTCAAAGGAAAGGTTCAACTCTGTTAGCTGAGTAGATACATCATCAAAAAGTTTCTGACATTGCTTCTATGTAGCTTTTATTGGAAGATATTTCCTTTTTCACCACAGTCCTGAGAGCGCTCCAAATGTCCACTTCCAGATACTACAAAAAGAGTGTTTCAAACCTGTTCTATGAAAGGAACTGTTCAACACTGTGACTTCAATTGAAACATCCCAATGAAGCTTCTGGGAATGCTGCTGTCTGCTTTGTATAATTAATCCCGTTTCCAACGAAATCCTCAAAGCTATCCAAATATCCTCTTGCAGATATTACAAAAAGAGTGTTTCAAAACTGCTCTATCAAAAGAAAGCTTCAACACTGTTAGTTGAGGGCGCACATCACAAATAAGTTTCTGAGAATGCTGCTGTCTGCTTTTTATATGTAATCCCGTTTCCAACGAAATCCTCAAAGCTAGACAAATATCCACTTGCAGATTCCACAAAAAGAGTGTTTCAAAACTGCTCTATCAAAAGAATGCTTCAACACTGTTAGTTGAGGGCGCACATCACAAATAAGTTTACTGAGAATGCTTCTGTCTAGTTTTCAGGGGAAGATATTTCCTTTTAAACCATAGGCCTGAAAGCGCTCCAAATGTCCACATCCAGATACTACAAAAAGAGTGTTTCAAACCTGCTCTATGAAAGGGAGTGTTCAACACTGTGACTTCAATTGAAACATCCCAATGAAGCTTCTGAGAATGCTTCTGTCTAGAGTTTATATGAAGACAATCCCGTTTCCAACGAAATCCTCAAAGCTATCCAAATATCCTCTTGCAGATATTACAAAAAGAGTGTTTCAAAACTGCTCTATCAAAGAAAGGTTCAACACTGTTAGTTGAGGGAGCACATCACAAATAAGTTTCTGAGAATGCTTCTGTCTAGTTTTCAGGGGAAGATATTTCCTTTTTCACCATAGGCCTGAAAGCGCTCCAAATGTCCACATCCAGATACTACAAAAAGAGTGTTTCAAACCTGCTCTATGAAAGGGAATGTTCAACTCTGTGACTTGAATGCAAACGTCACAAAGAAGTTTCTGGGAATGCTGCTGTCTGCTTTTTATATGTAATCCCGTTTCCAACGAAATCCTCAAAGCTAGACAAATATCCACTTGCAGATTGCACAAAAAGAGTGTTTCAAAACTGCTCTCTCAAAAGGAAGGTTCAACTCTGTTAGCTGAGTAGATACATCATGAAAAAGTTTCTGACATTGCTTCTATCTAGCTTTTATTGGAAGATATTTCCTTTTTCACCGTAGTCCTGAGAGCGCTCCAAATGTCCACTTCCAGATACTACAAAAAGAGTGTTTCAAACCTGCTCTATGAAAGGGAATGTTCAACACTGTGACTTCAGTTGAAACATCCCAATGAAGCTTCTGAGAATGCTTATGTCTAGAGTTTATATGAAGACAATCCCGTTTCCAACGAAATCCTGAAAGCTATCCAAATATCCTCTTGCAGATATTACAAAAAGAGTGTTTCAAAACTGCTCTATCAAAAGAAAGCTTCAACACTGTTAGTTGAGGGCGCCCATCACAAATAAGTTTCGGAGAATGCTTAGCTGTCTGCTTTTTATATGCAATCCCGTTTCCAACGAAATCCTCAAAGCTATCCAAATATCCTCTTGCAGATATTACAAAAAGAGTGTTTCAAAACAGCTCTATCAAAAGAAAGGTTCAACACTGTTAGTTGAGGGCGCACATCACAAATAAGTTTCTGAGAATGCCTCTGTCTAGTTTTCAGGGGAAGATATTTCCTTTTTCACCATAGGTCTGAAAGCGCTCCAAATGTCCACATCCAGATACTACAAAAAGAGTGTTTCAAACCTGCTCTATGAAAGGGAATATTCAACTCTGTGACTTGAATGCAAACATCACAAAGAAGTTTCTGGGAATGCTTCTGTCTAGAGTTTATATGAAGACAATCCCGTTTCCAACGAAATCCTCAAAGCTATCCAAATATCCTCTTGCAGATATTACAAAAAGAGTGTTTCAAAACTGCTCTATCAAAAGAAAGCTTCAACACTGTTAGTTGAGGGCGCACATCACAAATAAGTTTCTGAGAATGCTTCTGTCTAGTTTTCAGGGGAAGATATTTCCTTTTTCACCATAGGGCTGAAAGCGCTCCAAATGTCCACATGCAGATACTACAAAAAGAGTGTTTCAAACCTGCTCTATGAAAGGGAATGTTCAACTCTGACACTTGAATGCAAACATCACAAAGAAGTTTCTGGGAATGCTGCTGTCTGCTTTTTATATGTAATCCCGTTTCCAACGAAATCCTCAAAGCTAGACAAATATCCACTTGCAGATTCCACAAAAAGAGTGTTTCAAAACTGCTCTCTCAAAAGAAAGGTTCAACTCTGTTAGCTGAGTAGATACATCATGAAAAAGTTTCTGACATTGCTTCTATCTAGCTTTTATTGGAAGATATTTCCTTTATCACCGTATTCCTGAGATCTCTCCAAATGTCCACTTCCAGATACTACAAAAAGAGTGTTTCAAACCTGCTCTATGAAAGGGACTGTTCAACACTGTGACTTCAATTGAAACATCCCAATGAAGCTTCTGAGAATGCTTCTTTCTAGAGTTTATATGAAGACAATCCCGTTTCCAACGAAATCCTCAAAGCTATCCAAATATTCTCTTGCAGATATTACAAAAAGAGTGTTTCAAAACTGCTCTATCAAAATAAAGCTTCAACACTGTTAGTTGAGGGCGCACATCACAAATAAGTTTCTGAGAATGCTGCTGTCTGCTTTTTATATGTAATCCCGTTTCCAACGAAATCCTCAAAGCTAGAAAAATATCCACTTGCAGATTCCACAAAAAGAGTGTTTCAAAACTGCTCTATCAAAAGAAAGCTTCAACACTGTTAGTTGAGGGCGCACATCACAAATAAGTTTCTGAGAATGCTTCTGTCTAGTTTTCAGGGGAAGATATTTCCTTTTAAACCATAGGCCTGAAAGCGCTCCAAATGTCCACATCCAGATACTACAAAAAGAGTGTTTCAAACCTGCTCTATGAAAGGGACTGTTCAACACTGTGACTTCAATTGAAACATCCCAATGAAGCTTCTGAGAATGCTTCTGTCTTGAGTTTATATGAAGAAAATCCCGTTTCCAATGAAATCCTCAAAGCTATCCAAATATCCTCTTGCAGATTTTACAAAAAGATTGTTTCAAAACTGCTCTATCAAAAGAAAGCTTCAACACTGTTAGCTGAGGGCGCACATCACAAATAAGATTCTGAGAATGCTTCTGTCTTGTTTTCAGGAGAAGATATTTCCTTTTTCACCATAGGCCTGTAAGCGCTCCAAATGTCCACATCCAGATACTATAAAAAGAGTGTTTCAAACCTGCTCTATGAAACGGAATGTTCAACTCTGGGACTTGAATGCAAACATCACAAAGAAGATTCTGGGAATGCTGCTGTCTGCTTTTTATATGTAATCCCGTTTCCAACGAAATCCTCAAAGCTAGACAAATATCCACTTCCAGATTCCACAAAAAGAGTGTTTCAAAACTGCTGTCTCAAAAGAAAGGTTCAACTGCTGTTAGCTGAGTAGATACATCATGAAAAAGTTTCTGACATTGCTTCTATCTAGCTTTTATTGGAAGATATTTCCTTTTTCACCGTAGTCCTGAGAACGCTCCAAATGTCCACTTCCAGATGCTACAAAAAGAGTGTTTCAAACCTGCTCTATGAAAGGGACTGTTCAACACTGTGACTTCAATTGAAACATCCCAATGAAGCTTCTGAGAATGCAGCTGTCTGCTTTGTATAATTAATCCCGTTTCCAACGAAATCCTCAAAGCTATCCAAATATCCTCTTGCAGATATTACAAAAAGAGTGTTTCAAAACTGCTCTATCAAAAGAAAGCTTCAACACTGTTAGTTGAGGGCGCACATCACAAATAAGTTTCTGAGAATGCTGCTGTCTGCTTTTTATATGTAATCCCGTTTCCAACGAAATCCTCAAATTTAGACAAATATCCACTTCCAGATTCCACAAAAAGAGTGTTTCAAAACTGCTCTATCAAAAGAATGCTTCAACACTGTTAGTTGAGGGCGCACATCACAAATAAGTTTCTGAGAATGCTTCTGTCTAGTTTTCAGGGGAAGATATTTCCTTTTAAACCATAGGCCTGAAAGCGCTCCAAATGTCCACATCCAGATACTACAAAAAGAGTGTTTCAAACCTGCTCTATGAAAGGGACTTTTCAACACTGTGACTTCAATTGAAACATCCCAATGACGCTTCTGAGAATGCTTCTGTGTAGAGTTTATATGAAGACAATCCCGTTTCCAACGAAATCCTCAAAGCTATCCAAATATCCTCTTGCAGATTTTACAAAAAGAGTGTTTCAAAACTGCTCTATCAAAAGAAAGCTTCAACACTGTTAGTTGATGGCGCACATCACAAATAAGATTCTGAGAATTCTTCTGTCTAGTTTTCAGGGGAAGATATTTCCTTTTTCACCATAGGCTTGAAAGCACTCCAAATGTCCACATCCAGATACTACAAAAAGAGTGTTTCAAACCTGCTCTATGAAAGGGAATGTTCAACTCTGTGACTTGAATGCAAACATCACAAAGAAGTTTCTGGGAATGCTGCTGTCTGCTTTTTATATGTAATCCCGTTTCCAACGCAATCCTCAAAGCTAGACAAATATCCACTTGCAGATTCCACAAAAAGAGTGTTTCAAAACTGCTCTCTCAAAGGAAAGGTTCAACTCTGTTAGCTGAGTAGATACATCATGAAAAAGTTTCTGACATTGCTTCTATCTAGCTTTTATTGGAAGATATTTCCTTTATCACCGTATTCCTGAGATCTCTCCAAATGTCCACTTCCAGATACTACAAAAAGAGTGTTTCAAACCTGCTCTATGAAAGGGACTGTTCAACACTATGACTTCAATTGAAACATCCCAATGAAGCTTCTGAGAATGCTTCTGTCTAGATTCTATATGAAGACAATCCCGTTTCCAACGAAATCCTCAAAGCTATCCAAATATCCTCTTGCAGATTTTACAAAAAGAGTGTTTCAAAACTGCTCTATCAAAAGAAAAGTTCCACACTGTTAGTTGAGGGCGCACATCACAAATAAGTTTGCTGAGAATGCTGCTGTCTGCTTTTTATATGTAATCCCGTTTCCAACGAAATCCTCAAAGCTAGACAAATATCCACTTGCAGATTCCACAAAAAGAGTGTTTCAAAACTGCTCTCTCAAAAGAAAGGTTCAACACTGTTAGTTGAGGGCGCACATCACAAATAAGTTTCTGAGAATGCTTCTGTCTAGTTTTCAGGGGAAGATATTTCCTTTTAAACCATAGGCCTGAAAGCGCTCCAAATGTCCACATCCAGATACTACAAAAAGAGTGTTTCAAACCTGCTCTATGAAAGGGACTGTTCAACACTGTGACTTCAATTGAAACATCCTAATGACGCTTCTGAGAATGCTTCTGTCTAGAGTTTATATGAAGACAATCCCGTTTCCAACGAAATCCTCAAAGCTATCCAAATATCCTCTTGCAGATTTTACAAAAAGAGTGTTTCAAAACTGCTCTATCAAAAGAAAGCTTCAACACTGTTAGTTGAGGGCGCACATCACAAATAAGTTTGCTGAGAATGCTTTCTGTCTAGTTTTCAGGGGAAGATATTTCCTTTTTCACCATAGGCCTGAAAGCGCTCCAAATGTGCACATCCAGATACTACAAAAAGAGTGTTTCAAACCTTCTCTATGAAAGGGAGTGTTCAACTCTGTGACTTGAATGCAAACATCACAAAGAAGTTTCTGGGAATGCTGCTGT
This sequence comes from Homo sapiens, assembly GCF_000001405.40. Lineage (NCBI taxonomy): Eukaryota > Metazoa > Chordata > Mammalia > Primates > Hominidae > Homo > Homo sapiens. The sequence goes on along the minus strand of NC_000002.12, from coordinate 94,058,126 downwards.
CTGCTTTTTATATGTAATCCCGTTTCCAACGAAATCCTCAAAGCTAGACAAATATCCACTTGCAGATTCCACAAAACGAGTGTTTCAAAACTGCTCTCTCAAATGAAGGTTCAACTCTGTTAGCTGAGTAGATACATCATGAAAAAGTTTCTGACATTGCTTCTATCTAGCTTTTATTGGAAGATATTTCCTTTATCCCCGTATTCCTGAGATCTCTCCAAATGTCCACTTCCAAATACTACAAAAAGAGTGTTTCAAACCTGCTCTATGAAAGGGACTGTTCAACACTGTGACTTCAATTGAAACATCCCAATGAAGCTTCTGAGAATGCTGCTGTCTGCTTTGTATAATTAATCCCGTTTCCAACGAAATCCTCAAAGCTATCCAAATATCCTCTTGCAGATATTACAAAAAGAGTGTTTCAAAACTGCTCTATCAAAAGAAAGCTTCAACACTGTTAGTTGAGGGCGCACATCACAAATAAGTTTCTGAGAATGCTGCTGTCTGCTTTTTATATGTAATCCCGTTTCCAACGAAATCCTCAAAGCTAGACAAATATCCACGTGCAGATTCCACAAAAAGAGTGTTTCAAAACTGCTCTATCAAGAGAAAGCTTCAACACTGTTAGTTGAGGGCGCACATCACAAATAAGTTTCTGAGAATGCTTCTGTCTAGTTTTCAGGGGAAGATATTTCCTTTTTCACCATAGGCCTGAAAGCGCTCCAAATGTCCACATCCAGATACTACAAAAAGAGTGTTTCAAACCTGCTCTATGAAAGGGACTGTTCAACACTGTGACTTCAATTGAAACATCCCAATGAAGCTTCTGAGAATGCTTCTGTCTAGAGTTTATATGAAGACAATCCCGTTTCCAACGAAATCCTCAAAGCTATCCAAATATCCTCTTGCAGATTTTACAAAAAGAGTGTTTCAAAACTGCTCTATCAAAAGAAAGCTTCAACACTGTTAGTTGAGGGCGCACATCACAAATAAGATTCTGAAAATGCTTCTGTCTAGTTTTCAGGGGAAGATATTTCCTTTTTCACCATAGGCCTGAAAGCGCTCCAAATGTCCACATCCAGATACTACAAAAAGAGTGTTTCAAACCTGCTCTATGAAAGGGAATGTTCAACTCTGTGACTTGAATGCAAACATCACAAACAAGATTCTGGGAATGCTGCTGTCCGCTTTTTATATGTAATCCCGTTTCCAACGAAATCCTCATAGCTAGACAAATATCCACTTCCAGATTCCACAAAAAGAGTGTTTCAAAACTGCTCTCTCAAAAGAAAGGTTCAACTCTGTTAGCTGAGTAGATACATCATGAAAAAGTTTCTGACATTGCTTCTATGTAGCTTTTATTGGAAGATATTTCCTTTTTCACCGTAGTCCTGAGAGCGCTCCAAATGTCCACTTCCAGATACTACAAAAAGAGTGTTTCAAACCTGCTCTATGAAAGGGACTGTTCAACACTGTGACTTCAATTGAAACATCCCAATGAAGCTTCTGAGAATGCTTCTGTCTAGAGTTTATATGAAGACAATCCCGTTTCCAACGAAATCCTCAAAGCTATCCAAATATCCTCTTGCAGATATTACAAAAAGAGTGTTTCAAAACTGCTCTATCAAAAGAAAGGTTCAACACTGTTAGTTGAGGGCGCACATCACAAATAAGTTTACTGAGAATGCTGCTGTCTGCTTTTTATATGTAATCCCGTTTCCAACGAAATCCTCAAAGCTAGACAAATATCCACTTGCAGATTCCACAAAAAGAGTGTTTCAAAACTGCTCTATCAAAAGAATGCTTCAACACTGTTAGTTGAGGGCGCACATCACAAATAAGTTTCTGAGAATGCTTCTGTCTAGTTTTCAGGGGAAGATATTTCCTTTTAAACCATAGGCCTGAAAGCGCTCCAAATGTCCACATCCAGATACTACAAAAAGAGTGTTTCAAACCTGCTCTATGAAAGGGACTGTTCAACACTGTGACTTCAATTGAAACATCCCAATGACGCTTCTGAGAATGCTTCTGTCTAGATTTTATATGAAGACAATCCCGTTTCCAACGAAATCCTCAAAGCTATGCAAATATCCTCTTGCAGATTTTACAAAAAGAGTGTTTCAAAACTGCTCTATCAAAAGAAAGGTTCAACACTGTTAGTTGAGGGCGCACATCACAAATAAGTTTCTGAGAATGCTTCTATCTAGTTTTCAGGGGAAGATATTTCCGTTTTCACCATAGGCCTGAAAGCGCTCCAAATGTCCACATCCAGATACTACAAAAAGAGTGTTTCAAACCTGCTCTATGAAAGGGAATGTTCAACTCTGTGACTTGAATGCAAATATCACAAAGAAGTTTCTGGGAATGCTGCTGTCTACTTTTTATATGTAATCCCGTTTCCAACGGAATCCTCAAAGCTAGACAAATATCCACTTGCAGATTCCACAAAAAGAGTGTTTCAAAACTGCTCTCTCAAAGGAAGGTTCAACTCTGTTAGCTGAGTAGATACATCATGAAAAAGTTTCTGACATTGCTTCTATCTAGCTTTTGTTGGAAGATATTTCCTTTTTCACCGCAGTCCTGAGAGCGCTCCAAATGTCCACTTCCAGATACTACAAAAAGAGTGTTTCAAACCTGCTCTATGAAAGGGACTGTTCAGCACTGTGACTTCAATTGAAACATCCCAATGAAGCTTCTGAGAATGCTTCTGTCTAGAGTTTATATGAAGACAATCCCGTTTCCAACGAAATCCTCAAAGCTATCCAAATATCCTCTTGCAGATTTTACAAAAAGAGTGTTTCAAAACTGCTCTATCAAAAGAAAGCTTCAACACTGTTAGTTGAGGGCGCACATCGCAAATAAGTTTCTGAGAATGCTGCTGTCTGCTTTTTATATGTAATCCCGTTTCCAACGAAATCCTCAAAGCTAGACAAATATCCACTTGCAGATTCCACAAAAAGAGTGTTTCAAAACTGCTCTATCAAAAGAATGCTTCAACACTGTTAGTTGAAGGCGCACATCACAAATAAGTTTCTGAGAATGCTTCTGTCTAGTTTTCAGGGGAAGATATTTCCTTTTTCACCATAGGCCTGAAAGCGCTCCAAATGTCCACATCCAGATACTAAAAAAAGAGTGTTTCAAACCTGCTCTATGAAAGGGACTGTTCAACACTGTGACTTCAATTGAAACATCCCAATGAAGCTTCTGAGAATGCTTCTGTCTAGAGTTTATATGAAGACAATCCCGTTTCCAACGAAATCTTCAAAGCTATCCAAATATCCTCTTGCAGATTTTACAAAAAGAGTGTTTCAAAACTACTCCATGAAAAGAATGGTTTAATACTGTTACTTGAGGGCGCACATCACAAATAAGTTTCTGAGAATGCTTCTGTCTAGTTTTCATGGGAAGATATTTCCTTTTTAACCATAGGCCTGAAAGCGCTCCAAATCTCCACATCCGGATACTACAAAAAGAGTGTTTCAAACCTGCTCTATGAAAGGGAATGTTCAACTCTGTGACTTGAATGCAAACATCACAAAGAAGTTTCTGGGAATGCTGCTGTCTGCTTTTTATATGTAATCCCGTTTCCAACGAAATCCTCAAAGCTAGACAAATATCCACTTGCAGATTCCACAAAAAGAGTGTTTCAAAACTGCTCTCTCAAAAGAAAGGTTCAACTCTTTTAGCTGAGTAGATACATCATGAAAAACTTTCTCACATTTCTTCTAACTAGCTTTTATTGGAAGATATTTCCTTTTTCACCGTAGTCCTGAGAGCGCTCCAAATGTCCACTTCCAGATGCTACAAAAAGAGTGTTTCAAACCTGCTCTATGAAAGTGACTGTTCAACACTGTGACTTCAATTGAAACATCCCTATGAAGCTTATCAGAATGCTTCTGTCTAGAGTTTATATGAAGACAATCCCGTTTCCAACGAAATCCTCAAAGCTATCCAAATATCCTCTTGCAGATATTACAAAAAGAGTGTTTCAAAACTGCTCTATCAAAAGAAAGGTTCAACACTGTTAGTTGAGGGCGCACATCACAAATAAGTTTACTGAGAATGCTGCTGTCTGCTTTTTATAATTAATCCCGTTTCCAACGAAATCCTCAAAGCTATCCAAATATCCTCTTGCAGATATTACAAAAAGAGTGTTTCAAAACTGCTCTATCAAAAGAAAGCTTCAACACTGTTAGTTGAGGGCGCACATCACAAATAAGTTTCTGAGAATGCTTCTGTCTAGTTTTCAGGGGAAGATATTTCCTTTTTCACCATAGGCCTGAAAGCGCTCCAAATGTCCACATCCAGATACTACAAAAAGAGTGTTTCAAACCTGCTCTATGAAAGGGACTGTTCAACACTGTGACTTCAATTGAAACATCCCAATGAAGCTTCTGAGAATGCTTCTGTCTAGAGTTTATATGAAGACAATCCCGTTTCCAACGAAATCCTCAAAGCTATCCAAATATCCTCTTGCAGATTTTAGAAAAAGAGTGTTTCAAAACTGCTCTATCAAAAGAAAGCTTCAACACTGTTAGTTGAGGGCGCACATCACAAATAAGATTCTGCGAATGCTTCTGTCTAGTTTTCAGGGGAACATATTTCCTTTTTCACCATAGGCCTGAAAGCGCTCCAAATGTCCACATCCAGATACTACAAAAAGAGTGTTTCAAACCTGCTCTATGAAAGGGAATGTTCAACTCTGTGACTTGAATGCAAACATCACAAAGAAGTTACTGGGAATGCTTCTGTCTAGAGTTTATATGAAGACAATCCCGTTTCCAACGAAATCCTCAAAGCTATCCAAATATCCTCTTGCAGATTTTACAAAAAGAGTGTTTCAAAACTGCTCTCTCAAAAGAAAGGTTCAACTCTGTTAGCTGAGTAGATACATCATGAAAAAGTTTCTGACATTGCTTCTATCTAGCTTTTATTGGAAGATATTTCCTTTATCACCGTATTCCTGAGATCTCTCCAAATGTCCACTTCCAGATACTACAAAAAGAGTGTTTCAAACCTGCTCTATGAAAGGGACTGTTCAACACTGTGACTTCAATTGAAACATCCCAATGAAGCTTCTGAGAATGCTTCTGTCTAGAGTTTATATGAAGACAATCCCGTTTCCAACGAAATCCTCAAAGCTATCCAAATATCCTCTTGCAGATATTACAAAAAGAGTGTTTCAAAACTGCTCTATCAAAAGAAAGCTTCAACACTGTTAGTTGAGGGCGCACATCACAAATAAGTTTCTGAGAATGCTTCTGTCTAGTTTTCAGGGGAAGATATTTCCTTTTTCACCTTAAGCCTGAAAGCGCTCCAAATGTCCACATCCAGATACTATAAAAAGAGTGTTTCAAACCTGCTCTCTGAAAGGGAATGTTCAACTCTGTGACTTGAATGCAAACTTCACAAACAAGATTCTGGGAATGCTGCTGTCTGCTTTTTATATGTAATCCCGTTTCCAACGAAATCCTCAAAGCTAGACAAATATCCACTTGCAGATTCCACAAAAAGAGTGTTTCAAAGCTGCTCTCTCAAAAGAATGGTTCAACTCTGTTAGCTGAGTAGATAGATCATGAAAAATTTTCTGACATTGCTTCTATGTAGCTTTTATTGGAAGATATTCCCTTTTTCACCGTAGTCCTGAGAGCGCTCCAAATGTCCACTTCCAGATACTACAAAAAGAGTGTTTCAAACCTGCTCTATGAAAGGAACTGTTCAACAGTGTGACTTCAATTGAAACATCCCAATGAAGCTTCTGAGAATGCTTCTGTCTAGAGTTTATATGAAGACAATCCCGTTTCCAACGAAATCCTCAAAGCTATCCAAATATCCTCTTGCAGATATTACAAAAAGAGTGTTTCAAAACTGCTCTATCAAAAGAAAGGTTCAACACTGTTAGTTGAGGGCGCACATCACAAATAAGTTTACTGAGAATGCTGCTGTCTGCTTTTTATATGTAATCCCGTTTCCAACGAAATCCTCAAAGCTAGACAAATATCTACTTGCAGATTCCACAAAAAGAGTATTTCAAAACTGCTCTATCAAAAGAATGCTTCAACACTGTTAGTTGAGGGCGCACATCACAAATAAGTTTCTGAGAATGCTTCTATGTAGCTTTTATTGGAAGATAATTCCTTTTTCACCGCAGTCCTGAGATCTCTCCAAATGTCCACTTCCAGATACTACCAAAAGAGTGTTTCAAACCTGCTCTATGAAAGGGACTGTTCAACACTGTGACTTCAGTTGAAACATCCCAATGAAGCCTTTGAGAATGCTTCTGTCTAGATTTTATATGAAGACAATCCCGTTTCCAACGAAATCCTCAAAGCTATCCAAATATCCTCTTGCAGATTTTACAAAAAGAGTGTTTCAAAACTGCTCTATCAAAAGAAAGTTTCAACACTGCTAGTTGAGGGCGCACATCACAAATAAGATTCTGAGAATGCTTCTGTCTAGTTTTCAGGGGAAGATATTTCCTTTTTCACCATAGGCCTGAAAGCGCTCCAAATGTCCACATCCAGATACTACAAAAAGAGTGTTTCAAACCTGCTCTATGAAAGGGAATGTTCAACGCTGTGACTTGAATGCAAACATCACAAAGAAGTTTCTGGGAATGCTGCTGTCTGCTTTTTATATGTAATCCCGTTTCCAACGAAATCCTCAAAGCTAGACAAATATCCACTTGCAGATTCCACAAAAAGAGTGTTTCAAAACTGCTCTCTCAAAAGAAAGGTTCAACTCTGTTAGCTGAGTAGATACATCATGAAAATGTTTCTGACATTGCTTCTATCTAGCTTTTATTGGAAGATATTTCCTTTTTCACCGTAGTCCTGAGATCTCTCCAAATGTCCACTTCCAGATACTACAAAAAGAGTGTTTCAAACCTGCTCTATGAAAGGGACTGTTCAACACTGTGACTTCAATTGAAACATCCCAATGAAGCTTCTGAGAATGCTGCTGTCTGCTTTGTATAATTAATCCCGTTTCCAACGAAATCCTCAAAGCTATCCAAATATCCTCTTGCAGATATTACAAAAAGAGTGTTTCAAAACTGCTCTATCAAAAGAAAGCTTCAACACTGTTAGTTGAGGGCGCACATCACAAATAAGTTTCTGAGAATGCTGCTGTCTGCTTTTTATATGTAATCCCGTTTCCAACGAAATCCTCAAAGCTAGACAAATATCCACTTGCAGATTCCACAAAAAGAGTGTTTCAAAACTGCTCTATCAAAAGAATGCTTCAACACTGTTAGTTGAGGGCGCACATCACAAATAAGTTTCTGAGAATGCTTCTGTCTAGTTTTCAGGGGAAGATATTTCCTTTTAAACCATAGGCCTGAAAGCGCTCCAAATGTCCACATCCAGATACTACAAAAAGAGTGTTTCAAACCTGCTCTATGAAAGGGACTGTTCAACACTGTGACTTCAATTGAAACATCCCAATGAAGCTTCTGAGAATGCTTCTGTCTAGAGTTTATATGAAGACAATCCCGTTTCCAATGAAATCCTCAAAGCTATCCAAATATCCTCTTGCAGATTTTACAAAAAGAGTGTTTCAAAACTGCTCTATCAAAAGAAAGCTTCAACACTGTTAGTTGAGGGCGAACATCACAAATAAGATTCTCAGAATGCTTCTGTCTAGTTTTCAGGGGAAGATATTTCCTTTTTCACCATAGGCCTGAAAGCGCTCCAAATGTCCACATCCAGATACTACAAAAAGAGTGTTTCAAACCTGCTCTATGAAAGGGAATGTTCAACTCTGTGACTTGAATGCAAACGTCACAAAGAAGTTTCTGGGAATGCTGCTGTCTGCTTTTTATATGTAATCCCGTTTCCAACGAAATCCTCAAAGCTAGACAAGTATCCACTTGCAGATTCCACAAAAAGAGTGTTTCAAAACTGCTCTCTCAAAAGAAAGGTTCAACTCTGTTAGCTGAGTAGATACATCATGAAAAAGTTTCTGACATTGCTTCCATCTAGCATTTATTGGAAGATATTTCCTTTTTCACCGCAGTCCTGAGAGCGCTCCAAAGGTCCACTTCAAGATACTACAAAAAGAGTGTTTCAAACCTGCTCTATGAAAGGGACTGTTCAACACTGTGAATTCAATTGAAACATCCCAATGAAGCTTCTGAGAATGCTGCTGTCTGCTTTGTATAATTAATCCCGTTTCCAACGAAATCCTCAAAGCTATCCAAATATCCTCTTGCAGATATTACAAAAAGAGTGTTTCAAAACTGCTCTATCAAAAGAAAGCTTCAACACTGTTAGTTGAGGGCGCACATCACAAATAAGTTTCTGAGAATGCTGCTGTCTGCTTTTTATATGTAATCCCGTTTCCAACGAAATCCTCAAAGCTAGACAAATATCCACTTGCAGATTCCACAAAAAGAGTGTTTCAAAACTGCTCTATCAAAAGAATGCTTCAACACTGTTAGTTGAGGGCGCACATCACAAATAAGTTTCTGAGAATGCTTCTGTCTAGTTTTCAGGGGAAGATATTTCCTTTTAAACCATAGGCCTGAAAGCGCTCCAAATGTCCACATCCAGATACTACAAAAAGAGTGTTTCAAACCTGCTCTATGAAAGGGACTGTTCAACACTGTGACTTCAATTGAAACATCCCAATGAAGCTTCTGAGAATGCTTCTGTCTAGAGTTTATATGAAGACAATCCCGTTTCCAACGAAATCCTCAAAGCTATCCAAATATCCTCTTGCAGATATTACAAAAAGAGTGTTTCAAAACTGCTCTATCAAAAGAAAGCTTCAACACTGTTAGTTGAGGGCGCACATCACAAATAAGTTTCTGAGAATGCTTCTGTCTAGTTTTCAGGGGAAGATATTTCCTTTTTCCCCATTGGCCTGAAAGCGCTCCAAATGTCCACATCCAGATACTACAAAAAGAGTGTTTCAAACCTGCTCTATGAAAGGGAATGTCCAACTCTGTGACTTGAATGCAAACATCACAAAGAAGTTACTGGGAATGCTGCTGTCGGCTTTTTATATGTAATCCCGTTTCCAACGAAATCCTCAAAGCTAGACAAATATCCACTTGCATATTCCACAAAAAGAGTGCTTCAAAGCTGCTCTCTCAAAAGAAAGGTTCAACTCTGTTAGCTGAGCAGATACATCATAAAAAAGTTTCTGACATTGCTTCTATGTAGCTTTTATTGGAAGATATTTCCTTTTTCACCGCAGTCCTGAGAGCGCTCCAAATGTCCACTTCCAGATACTACAAAAAGAGTGTTTCAAACCTGCTCTATGAAAGGGACTGTTCAACACTGTGACTTCAATTGAAACATCCCAATGAAGCTTCTGAGAATGCTGCTGTCTGCTTTGTATAATTAATCCCGTTTCCAACGAAATCCTCAAAGCTATCCAAATATCCTCTTGCAGATATTACAAAAAGAGTGTTTCAAAACTGCTCTATCAAAAGAAAGCTTCAACACTGTTAGTTGAGGGCGCACATCACAAATAAGTTTCTGAGAATGCTGCTGTCTGCTTTTTATAATTAATCCCGTTTCCAACGAAATCCTCAAAGCTATCCAAATATCCTCTTGCAGATATTACAAAAAGAGTGTTTCAAAACTGCTCTATCAAAAGAAAGGTTCAACACTGTTAGTTGAGGGCGCACATCACAAATAAGTTTCTGAGAATGCTTCTGTCTAGTTTTCAGGGGAAGATATTTCCTTTTAAACTATAGGCCTGCAAAAGCTCCAAATGTCCACATCCAGATACTACAAAAAGAGTGTTTCAAACCTGCTCTATGAAAGGGACTGTTCAACACTGTGACTTCAATTGAAACATCCCAATGAAGCTTCTGAGAATTCTTCTGTCTAGATTTTATATGAAGACAATCCCGTTTCCAACGAAATCCTCAAAGCTATCCAAATATACTCTTGCAGATTTACAAAAAGAGTGTTCCAAAACTGCTCCATCAAAAGAAAGCTTCAACACTGTTAGTTGAGGGCACACATCACAAATAAGATTCTGAGAATGCTTCTGTCTAGTTTTCAGGGGAAGATATTTCCTTTTTCACCATAGGCCTGAAAGCGCTCCAAATGTCCACATCCAAATACTACAAAAAGAGTGTTTCAAACCTGCTCTATGAAAGGGAATGTTCAACTCTGTGACTTGAATGCAAACATCACAAAGAAGTTTCTGGGAATGCTGCTGTCTGCTTTTTATATGTAATCCTGTTTCCAACGAAATCCTCAAAGCTAGACAAATATCCACTTGCAGATTCCACAAAAAGAGTGTTTCAAAACTGCTCTCTCAAAAGAAAGGTTCAACTCTGTTAGCTGAGTAGATACATCATGAAAAAGTTTCTGACATTGCTTCTATCTAGCTTTTATTGGAAGATACTTCCTTTTTCACCGTAGTCCTGAGAGCGCTCCAAATGTCCACTTCCAGATACTACAAAAAGAGTGTTTCAAACCTGCTCTATGAAAGGGACTGTTCAACACTGTGACTTCAATTGAAACATCCCAATGAAGCTTCTGAGAATGCTGCTGTCTGCTTTGTATAATTAATCCCGTTTCCAACGAAATCCTCAAAGCTATCCAAATATCCTCTTGCAGATATTACAAAAAGAGTGTTTCAAAACTGCTCTATCAAAAGAAAGCTTCAACACTGTTAGTTGAGGGCGCACATCACAAATAAGTTTCTGAGAATGCTGCTGTCTGCTTTTTATATGTAATCCCGTTTCCAACGAAATCCTCAAAGCTAGACAAATATCCACTTGCAGATTCCACAAAAAGAGTGTTTCAAAACTGCTCTATCAAAAGAAAGCTTCAACACTGTTAGTTGAGGGCGCACATCACAAATAAGTTTCTGAGAATGCTTCTGTCTAGTTTTCAGGGGAAGATATTTCCTTTTTCACCATAGGCCTGAAAGCGCTCCAAATGTCCACATTCCAGATACTACAAAAAGAGTGTTTCAAACCTGCTCCATGAAAGGGACTGTTCAACACTGTGACTTCAATTGAAACATCCCAATGATATGCTTCTGAGAATGCTTCTGTCTAGAGTTTATATGAAGACAATCCCGTTTCCAACGAAATCCTCAAAGCTATCCAAATATCCTCTTGCAGATTTTACAAAAAGAGTGTTTCAAAACTGCTCTATCAAAAGAAAGCTTCAACACTGTTAGTTGAGGTCGCACATCACAAATAAGATTCTGAGAATGCTTCTGTCTAGTTTTCAGGGGAAGATATTTCCTTTTTCACCATAGGCCTGAAAGCGCTCCAAATGTCCACATACAGATACTACAAAAAGAGTGTTTCAAACCTGCTCTATGAAAGGGAATGTTCAACTCCGTGACTTGAATGCAAACATCACAAAGAAGTTTCTGGGAATGCTGCTGTCTGCTTTTTATATGTAATCCCGTTTCCAACGAAATCCTCAAAGCTAGACAAATATCCACTTGCAAATTCCACAAAAAGAGTGTTTCAAAACTGCTCTCTCAAAAGAAAGGTTCAACTCTGTTAGCTGAGTAGATACATCATGAAAAAGTTTCTGACATTGCTTCTATCTAGCTTTTATTGGAAGATATTTCCTTTATCACCGTATTCCTGAGATCTCTCCAAATGTCCACTTCCAGATACTACAAAAATAGTGTTTCAAACCTGCTCTATGAAAGGGACTGTTCACCACTGTGACTTCAATTGAAACATCCCAATGAAGCTTCTGAGAATGCTGCTGTCTGCTTTGTATAATTAATCCCGTTTCCAACGAAATCCTCAAAGCTATCCAAATATCCTCTTGCAGATATTACAAAAAGAGTGTTTCAAAACTGCTCTATCAAAAGAAAGCTTCAACACTGTTAGTTGAGGGCGCACATCACAAATAAGTTTCTGAGAATGCTGCTGTCTGCTTCTTATATGTAATCCCGTTTCCAACGATATCCTCAAAGCTAGACAAATATCCACTTGCAGATACCACAAAAAGAGTGTTTCAAAACTGCTCTATCAAAAGAAAGCTTCAACACTGTTAGTTGAGGGGGCACATCACAAATAAGTTTCTGAGAATGCTTCTGTCTAGTTTTCAGGGGAAGATATTTCCTTTTTCACCATAGGGCTGAAAGCGCTCCAAATGTCCACATCCAGATACTACAAAAAGAGTGTTTCAAACCTGCTCTATGAAAGGGACTGTTCAACACTGTGACTTCAATTGAAACATCCCAATGAAGCTTCTGAGAATGCTTCTGTCTAGATTGTATATGAAGACAATCCCGTTTCCAACGAAATCCTCAAAGCTATCCAAATATCCTCTTGCAGATTTTTCAAAAAGAGTGTTTCAAAACTGCTCTATCAAAAGAAAGCTTCAACACTGTTAGTTGAGGGCGCACACCACAAATAAGTTTCTGAGAATGCTTCTGTCTAGTTTTCAGGGGAAGATATTTCCTTTTTCACCATAGGCCTGAGAGCGCTCCAAATGTCCACATCCAGATACTACAAAAAGAGTGTTTCAAACCTGCTCTATGAAAGGGAATGTTCAACTCCTGTGACTTGAATGCAAACATCACAAAGAAGTTTCTGGGAATGCTGCTGTCTGCTTTTAATATGTAATCCCGTTTCCAACGAAATCCTCAAAGCTAGACAAATATCCACTTGCAGATTCCACAAAAAGAGTGTTTCAAAACTGCTCTCTCAAAAGAAAGGTTCAACTCTGTTAGCTGAGTAGATACATCATGAAAAAGTTTCTGACATTGCTTCTATCTAGCTTTTATTGGAAGATATTTCCTTTTTCACCGTAGTCCTGAGATCTCTCCAAATGTCCACTTCCAGATACTACAAAAAGAGTGTTTCAAACCTGCTCTATGAAAGGGACTGTTCAACACTGTGACTTCAATTGAAACATCCCAATGAAGCTTCTGAGAATGCTTCTGTCTAGAGTTTATATGAAGACAATCCCGTTTCCAACGAAATCCTCAAAGCTATACAAATATCCTCTTGCAGATTTTAGAAAAAGACTGTTTCAAAACTGCTCTATCAAAAGAAAGCTTCAACACTGTTAGTTGAGGGCGCACATCACAAATAAGATTCTGAGAATGCTTCTGTCTAGTTTTCAGGGGAAGATATTGCCTTTTTCACCATAGGCCTGAGAGCGCTCCAAATGTCCACATCCAGATACTACAAAAAGAGTGTTTCAAACCTGCTCTATGAAAGGGAATGTTCAACTCTGTGACTTGAATGCAAACATCACAAAGAAGTTTCTGGGAATGCTTCTGTCTAGTTTTCAGGGGAAGATATTTCCTTTTTCACCATAGGCCTGAAAGCGCTCCAAATGTCCACATCCAGATACTACAAAAAGAGTGTTTCAAACCTGCTCTATGAAAGGGACTGTTCAACACTGTGACTTCAATTGAAACATCCCAATGAAGCTTCTGAGAATGCTTCTGTCTAGATTCTATATGAAGACAATCCCGTTTCCAACGAAATCCTCAAAGCTATCCAAATATCCTCTTGCAGATTTTACAAAAAGAGTGTTTCAAAACTGCTCTATCAAAAGAAAGCTTCAACACCGTTAGTTGAGGGCGCACATCACAAATAAGTTTCTGAGAATGCTTCTGTCTAGTTTTCAGGGGAAGATATTTCCTTTTTCACCATAGGCCTGAAAGCGCTCCAAATGTCCACATCCAGATACTACAAAAAGAGTGTTTCAAACCTGCTCTATGAAAGGGAATGTTCAACTCTGTGACGTGAATGCAAACATCACAAAGAAGTTTCTGGGAATGCTGCTGTCTGCTTTTTATATGTAATCCCGTTTCCAACGCAATCCTCAAAGCTAGACAAATATCCACTTGCAGATTCCACAAAAAGAGTGTTTCAAAACTGCTCTCTCAAAAGAAAGGTTCAACTCTGTTAGCTGAGTAGATACATCATGAACAATTTTCTGACATTGCTTCTATCTAGCTTTTATTGGAAGATATTTCCTTTATCACCGTATTCCTGAGATCTCTCCAAATGTCCACTTCCAGATACTACAAAAAGAGTGTTTCAAACCTGCTCTATGAAAGGGACTGTTCAACACTGTGACTTCAATTGAAACATCCCAATGAAGCTTCTAAGAATGCTTTCTGTCTAGAGTTTATATGAAGACAATCCCGTTTCCAACGAAATCCTCAAAGCTATCCAAATATCCTCTTGCAGATATTACAAAAAGAGTGTTTCAAAACTGCTCTATCAAAAGAAAGGTTCAACACTGTTAGTTGAGGGCGCACATCACAAATAAGTTTACTGAGAATGCTGCTGTCTGCTTTTTATATGTAATCAAGTTTCCAACGAAATCCTCAAAGCTAGACAAATATCCACTTGCAGATTCCATAAAAAGAGTGTTTCAAAACTGCTCTATCAAAAGAAAGCTTCAACACTGTTAGTTGAGGGCGCACATCACAAATAAGTTTCTGAGAATGCTTCTGTCTAGTTTTCAGGGGAAGATATTTCCTTTTAAACCATAGGCCTGAAAGCGCTCCAAATGTCCACATCCAGATACTACAAAAAGAGTGTTTCAAACCTGCTCTATGAAAGGGACTGTTCAACACTGTGACTTCAATTGAAACATCCCAATGACGCTTCTGAGAATGCTACTGTCTAGAGTTTATATGAAGACAATCCCGTTTCCAACGAAATACTCAAAGCTATCCAAATATCCTCTTGCAGATTTTACAAAAAGAGTGTTCCAAAACTACTCTATCAAAAGAAAGGTTCAACACTGTTAGTTGACGGCGCACATCACAAATAAGTTTCTAAGAATGCTTCTGTCTAGTTTTCAGGGGAAGATATTTCCTTTTTCACCATAGGCCTGAAAGCGCTCCAAATGTCCACATACAGATACTACAAAAAGAGTGTTTCAAACCTGCTCTATGAAAGGGAATGTTCAACTCTGTGACTTGAATGCAAACTTCACAAAGAAGTTTCTGGGAATGCTGCTGTCTGCTTTTTATATGTAATCCCGTTTCCAACGAAATCCTCAAAGCTAGACAAATATCCACTTGCAGATTCCACAAAACGAGTGTTTCAAAACTGCTCTCTCAAATGAAGGTTCAACTCTGTTAGCTGAGTAGATACATCATGAAAAAGTTTCTGACATTGCTTCTATCTAGCTTTTATTGGAAGATATTTCCTTTATCACTCTATTCCTGAGATCTCTCCAAATGTCCACTTCCAGCTACTACAAAAAGAGTGTTTCAAACCTGCTCTATGAAAGGGACTTTTCAACACTGTGACTTCAATTGAAACATCCCAATGAAGCTTCTGAGAATGCTTCTGTCTAGAGTTTATATGAAGACAATCCCGTTTCCAACGAAATCCTCAAAGCTATCCAAATATCCTCTTGCAGATTTTACAAAAAGAGTGTTTCAAAACTGCTCTATCAAAAGAAAGCTTCAACACTGTTAGTTGAGGGCGCACATCACAAATAAGATTCTGCGAATGCTTCTGTCTAGTTTTCAGGGGAAGATATTTCCTTTTTCACCTTAGGCCTGAAAGCGCTGCAAATGTCCACATCCAGATACTACAAAAAGAGTGTTTCAAACCTGCTCTATGAAAGGGAATGTTCAACTCTGTGACTTGAATGCAAACCTCACAAAGAAGTTTCTGGGAATGCTGCTGTCTGCTTTTTATATGTAATCCCGTTTCCAACGAAATCCTCAAAGCTAGAAAAATATCCACTTGCAGATTCCACCAAAAGAGTGTTTCAAAACTGCTCTCTCAAAAGAAAGGTTCAACTCTGTTAGCTGAGTAGATACATCATGAAAAAGTTTCTGACATTGCTTCTATCTAGCTTTTATTGGAAGATATTTCCTTTATCACCGTATTCCTGAGATCTCTCCAAATGTCCACTTCCAGATACTACAAAAAGAGTGTTTCAAACCTGCTCTATGAAAGGGACTGTTCAACACTGTGACTTCAATTGAAACATCCCAATGAAGCTTCTGAGAATGCTTCTGTCTAGAGTTTATATGAAGACAATCCCGTTTCCAACGAAATCCTCAAAGCTATCCAAATATCCTCTTGCAGATTTTACAAAAAGAGTGTTTCAAAACTGCTCTATCAAAAGAAAGCTTCAACACTGTTAATTGAGGGCGCACATCACAAATAAGTTTCTGAGAATGCTGCTGTCTGCTTTTTATATGTAATCCCGTTTCCAAAGAAATCCTCAAAGCTAGACAAACATCCACTTGCAGATTCCACAAAAAGAGTGTTTCAAAACTGCTCTATCAAAAGAAAGCTTCAACACTGTTAGTTGAGGGCGCACATCACAAGTAAGTTTCTGAGAATGCTTCTGTCTAGTTTTCAGGAGAAGATATTTCCTTTTTCACCATAGGCCTGAAAGCGCTCCAAATGTCCACATCCAAATACTACAAAAAGAGTGTTTCAAACCTGCTCTATGAAAGGGACTGTTCAACACTGTGACTTCAATTGAAACATCCCAATGAAGCTTCTGAGAATGCTTCTGTCTAGATTTTATATGAAGACAATCCCGTTTCCAACGAAATCCTCAAAGCTATCCAAATATCCTCTTGCAGATTTTACAAAAAGAGTGTTTCAAAACTGCTCTATCAAAAGAAAGTTTCAACACTGCTAGTTGAGGGCGCACATCACAAATAAGATTCTGAGAATGCTTCTGTCTAGTTTTCAGGGGAAGATATTTCCTTTTTCACCATAGGCCTGAAAGCGCTCCAAATGTCCACATCCAGATACTACAAAAAGAGTGTTTCAAACCTGCTCT
This sequence comes from Homo sapiens, assembly GCF_000001405.40. NCBI lineage: Eukaryota > Metazoa > Chordata > Mammalia > Primates > Hominidae > Homo > Homo sapiens. The sequence goes on along the minus strand of NC_000002.12, from coordinate 94,041,390 downwards.
ATGAAAGGGAATGTTCAACTGTGTGACTTGAATGCAAACATCACAAAGAAGTTTCTGGGAATGCTGCTGTCTGCTTTTTATATGTAATCCCGTTTCCAACGAAATCCTCAAAGCTAGACAATTATCCACTTGCAGATTCCACAAAACGAGTGTTTCAAAACTGCTCTCTCAAAAGAAAGGTTCAACTCTGTTAGCTGAGTAGATACATCATGAAAAAGTTTCTGACATTGCTTCTATCTAGCTTTTATTGGAAGATAGTTCCTTTTTCACCGCAGTCCTGAGAGCGCTCCAAATGTCCACTTCCAGATACTACAAAAAGAGTGTTTCAAACCTGCTCTATGAAAGGGACTGTTCAACACTGTGACTTCAATTGAAACATCCCAATGAAGCTTCTGAGAATGCTGCTGTCTGCTTTGTATAATTAATCCCGTTTCCAACGAAATCCTCAAAGCTATCCAAATATCCTCTTGCAGATATTACAAAAAGAGTGTTTCAAAACTGCTCTATCAAAAGAAAGCTTCAACACTGTTAGTTGAGGGCGCACATCACAAATAAGTTTCTGAGAATGCTGCTGTCTGCTTTTTATATGTAATCCCGTTTCCAACGAAATCCTCAAAGCTATCCAAATATCCTCTTGCAGATATTACAAAAAGAGTGTTTCAAAACTGCTCTATCAAAAGAAAGGTTCAACACTGTTAGTTGAGGGCGCACATCACAAATAAGTTTCTGAGAATGCTTCTGTCTAGTTTTCAGGGGAAGATATTTCCTTTTAAACCATAGGCCTGAAAGCGCTCCAAATGTCCACATCCAGATACTACAAAAAGAGTGTTTCAAACCTGCTCTATGAAAGGGACTGTTCAACACTGTGACTTCAATTCAAACATCCCAATGACGCTTCTGAGAATGCTTCTGTCTAGAGTTTATATGAAGACAATCCCGTTTCCAACGAAATCCTCAAAGCTATCCAAATATCCTCCTGCAGATATTACAAAAAGAGTGTTTCAAAACTGCTCTATCAAAAGAAAGGTTCAACACTGTTAGTTGAGGGCGCACATTACAAATAAGTTTCTGAGAATGCTTCTGTCTAGTTTTCAGGGGAAGATATTTCCTTTTTCACCATAGGCCTGAAAGCGCTCCAAATGTCCACATACAGATACTACAAAAAGAGTGTTTCAAACCTGCTCTATGAAAGGGAATGTTCAACTCTGTGACTTGAATGCAAACATCACAAAGAAGTTTCTGGGAATGCTGCTGTCTGCTTTTTATATGTAATCCCGTTTCCAACGAAATCCTCAAAGCTAGACAAATATCCACTTGCAGATTCCACCAAAAGAGTGTTTCAAAACTGCTCTCTCAAAAGAAAGGTTCAACTCTGTTAGCTGAGTAGATACATCATGAAAATGTTTCTGACATTGCTTCTATCTAGCTTTTATTGGAAGATATTTCCTTTTTCACCGCAGTCCTGAGAGCGCTCCAAGTGTCCACTTCCAGATACTACAAAAAGAGTGTTTCAAACCTGCTCTATGAAAGGGAGTGTTCAACACTGTGACTTCAACTGAAACATCCCAATGAAGCTTCTGAGAATGCTTCTGTCTAGAGTTTATATGAAGACAATCCCGTTTCCAACGAAATCCTCAAAGGTATCCAAATATCCTCTTGCAGATTTTACAAAAAGAGTGTTTCAAAACTGCTCTATCAAAAGAAAGCTTCAACACTGTTAGTTGAGGGCGCACATCACAAATAAGATTCTGAGAATGCTGCTGTCTGCTTTTTATATGTAATCCCGTTTCCAACGAAATCCTCAAAGCTAGACAAATATCCACTTGCAGATTCCACAAAAAGAGTGTTTCAAAACTGCTCTATCAAAAGAATGCTTCAACACTGTTAGTTGAGGGCGCACATCACAAATAAGTTTCTGAGAATGCTTCTGTCTAGTTTTCAGGGGAAGATATTTCCTTTTAAACCATAGGCCTGAAAGCGCTCAAATGTCCACATCCAGATACTACAAAAAGAGTGTTTCAAACCTGCTCTATGAAAGGGACTGTTCAACATTGTGACTTCAATTGAAACATCCCCATGATGCTTCTGAGAATGCTACTGTCTAGAGTTTATATGAAGACAATCCCGTTTCCAACGAAATTCTCAAAGCTATCCAAATATCCTCTTGCAGATTTTACAAAAAGAGTGTTTCAAAACTACTCTATCAAAAGAAAGGTTCAACACTGTTAGTTGAGGGCGCACATCACAAATAAGTTTCTGAGAATGCTTCTGTCTAGTTTTCAGGGGAAGATATTTCCTTTTTCACCATAGGCTTGAAAGCGCTCCAAATCTCCACATCCAGATACTACAAAAAGAGTGTTTCAAACCTGCTCTATGAAAGGGAATGTTCAACTCTGTGACTTCAATGCAAATTTCACAAAGATCTTTCTGGGAATGCTGCTGTCTGCTTTTTATATGTAATCCCGTTTCCAACGAAATCCTCAAAGCTAGACAAATATCCACTTGCAGATTCCACAAAAAGAGTGTTTCAAAACTGCTCTCTCAAAAGAAAGGTTCAACCCTGTTAGCTGAGTAGATACATCATGAAAAATTTTCTGACATTGCTTCTATCTAGCTTTTATTGGAAGATATTTCCTTTTTCACCGTAGTCCTGAGAGCGCTCCAAATGTCCACTTCCAGATACTACAAAAAGAGTGTTTCAAACCTGCTCTATGAAAGGGACTGTTCAACACTGTGACTTCAGTTGAAACATCCCAATGAAGCTTCTGAGAATGCTGCTGTCTGCTTTGTATAATTAATCCCGTTTCCAACGAAATCCTCAAAGCTATCCAAATATCCTCTTGCAGATATTACAAAAAGAGTGTTTCAAAACTGCTCTATCAAAAGAAAGCTTCAACACTGTTAGTTGAGGGCGCACATCACAAATAAGTTTCTGAGAATGCTGCTGTCTGCTTTTCATATGTAATCCCGTTTCCAACGAAATCCTCAAAGCTAGACAAATATCCACTTGCAGATTCCACAAAAAGAGTGTTTCAAAACTGCTCTATCAAAAGAATGCTTCAACACTGTTAGTTGAGGGCGCACATCACAAATAAGTTTCTGAGAATGCTTCTGTCTAGTTTTCAGGGGAAGATATTTCCTTTTTCACCATAGGCCTGAAAGCGCTCCAAATGTCCACATCCAGATACTACAAAAAGAGTGTTTCAAACCTGCTCTATGAAAGGGACTGTTCAACACTGTGACTTCAATTGAAACATCCCAATGAAGCTTCTGAGAATGCTTCTGTCTAGATTTTATATGAAGACAATCCCGTTTCCAACGAAATCCTGAAAGCTATCAAAATATCCTCTTGCAGATTTTACGAAAAGAGTGTTTCAAAACTGCTCTATCAAAAGAAAGCTTCAACACTGTTAGTTGAGGGCGCACATCACAAATAAGATTCTGAGAATGCTTCTGTCTAGAGTTTATATGAAGACAATCCCGTTTCCAACGAAATCCTCAAAGCTATCCAAATATCCTCTTGCAGATATTACAAAAAGAGTGTTTCAAACCTGCTCTATGAAAGGGAATGTTCAACTCTGTGACTTGAATGCAAACATCACAAAGAAGTTACTGGGAATGCTGCTGTCTGCTTTTTATATGTAATCCCGTTTCCAACGAAATCCTCAAAGCTAGACAAATATCCACTTTCAGATTACACAAAAAGAGTGTTTCAAAACTGCTCTCTCAAAAGAAAGGTTCAACTCTGTTAGCTGAGTAGATACATCATGAAAAAGTTTCTGACATTGCTTCTATCTAGCTTTTATTGGAAGATATTTCCTTTTTCACCGCAGTCCTGAGAGCGCTCCAAATGTCCACTTCCAGATACTACAAAAAGAGTGTTTCAAACCTGCTCTATGAAAGGGACTGTTCAACACTGTGACTTCAATTGAAACATCCCAATGAAGCTTCTGAGAATGCTTCTGTCTAGAGTTTATATGAAGACAATCCCGTTTCCAACGAAATCCTCAAAGCTATCCAAATATCCTCTTGCAGATATTACAAAAAGAGTGTTTCAAAACTGCTCTATCAAAAGAAAGGTTCAACACTGTTAGTTGAGGGCGCACATCACAAATAAGTTTACTGAGAATGCTGCTGTCTGCTTTTTATATGTAATCCCGTTTCCAACGAAATCCTCAAAGCTAGACAAATATCCACTTGCAGATTCCACAAAAAGAGTGTTTCAAAACTGCTCTATCAAAAGAATGTTTCAACACTGGTAGTTGAGGGCGCACATCACAAATAAGTTTCTGAGAATGCTTCTGTCTAGTTTTCAGGGGAAGATATTTCCTTTTAAACCATAGGCCTGAAAGCGCTCCAAATGTCCACATCCAGATACTACAAGAAGAGTGTTTCAAACCTGCTCTATGAAAGGGACTGTTCAACACTGTGACTTCAATTGAAACATCCCAATGAAGCTTCTGAGAATGCTTCTGTCTAGAGTTTATATGAAGACAATCCCGTTTCCAACGAAATCCTCAAAGATATCCAAATATCCTCTTGCAGATTTTACAAAAAGAGTGTTTCAAAACTGCTCTATCAAAAGAAAGCTTCAACACTGTTAGTTGAGGGCGCACATCACAAATAAGATTCTGAGAATGCTTCTGTCTAGTTTTCAGGGGAAGATATTTCCTTTTTCACCATAGGGCTGAAAGCGCTCCAAATGTCCACATCCAGATACTACAAAAAGAGTGTTTCAAACCTGCTCTCTGAAAGGGAATGTTCAACTCTGTGACTTGAATGCAAGCATCACAAAGAAGTTTCTGGGAATGCTGCTGTCTGCTTTTTATATGTAATCCCGTTTCCAACGAAATCCTCAAAGCTAGACAAATATCCACTTGCAGATTCCACAAAAAGAGTGTTTCAAAACTGCTCTCTCAAAAGAAAGGTTCAACTCTGTTAGCTGAGTAGATACATCATGAAAGTGTTTCTGACATTGCTTCTATGTAGCTTTTATTGGAAGATATTTCCTTTTTCACCGTAGTCCTGAGAGCGCTCCAAATGTCCACTTCCAGATACTACAAAAAGAGTGTTTCAAACCTGCTCTATGAAAGGGACTGTTCAACACTGTGACTTCAATTGAAACATCCCAATGAAGCTTCTGAGAATGCTTCTGTCTAGAGTTTATATGAAGACAATCCCGTTTCCAATGAAATCCTCAAAGCTATGCAAATATCCTCTTGCAGATTTTACAAAAAGAGTGTTTCAAATCTGCTCTATCAAAAGAAAGGTTCAACACTGTTAGTTGAGGGCGCACATCACAAATAAGATTCTGAGAATGCTGCTGTCTGCTTTTTATATGTAATCCCGTTTCCAACGAAATCCTCAAAGCTAGACAAATATCCACTTGCAGATTCCACAAAAAGAGTGTTTCAAAACTGCTCTATCAAAAGAATGCTTCAACACTGTTAGTTGAGGGCGCACATCACAAATAAGTTTCTGAGAATGCTTCTGTCTAGTTTTCAGGGGAAGATATTTCCTTTTTCACCATAGGCCTGAAAGCGCTCCAAATGTCCACATCCAGATACTACAAAAAGAGTGTTTCAAACCTGCTCTATGAAAGGGACTGTTCAACACTGTGACTTCAATTGAAACATCCCAATGAAGCATCTGAGAATGCTTCTGTCTAGAGTTTATATGAAGACAATCCCGTATCCAACGAAATCCTCAAAGCTATCCAAATATCCTCTTGCAGATATTACAAAAAGAGTGTTTCAAAACTGCTCTATCAAAAGAAAGGTTCAACACTGTTAGTTGAGGGAGCACATCACAAATAAGTTTCTGAGAATGCTTCTGTCTAGTTTTCTGGGGAAGATATTTCCTTTTTCACCATAGGCCTGAAAGCGCTCCAAATGTCCACATCCAGATACTACAAAAAGAGTGTTTCAAACCTGCTCTATGAAAGGGAATGTTCAACTCTGTGACTTGAATGCAAACATCACAAAGAAGTTTCTGGGAATGCTGCTGTCTGCTTTTTATATGTAATCCCGTTTCCAACGAAATCCTCAAAGCTAGACAAATATCCACTTGCAGATTCCATAAAAAGAGTGTTTCAAAACTGCTCTCTCAAAGGAAAGGTTCAACTCTGTTAGCTGAGTAGATACATCAAGAAAAAGTTTCTGACATTGCTTCTATCTAGCTTTTATTGGAAGATATTTCCTTTATCACCGTATTCCTGAGATCTCTCCAAATGTCCACTTCCAGATACTACAAAAAGAGTGTTTCAAACCTGCTCTATGAAAGGGACTGTTCAACACTGTGACTTCAATTGAAACATCCCAATGAAGCTTCTGAGAATGCTTCTTTCTAGAGTTTATATGAAGACAATCCCGTTTCCAACGAAATCCTCAAAGCTATCCAAATATTCTCTTGCAGATATTACAAAAAGAGTGTTTCAAAACTGCTCTATCAAAATAAAGCTTCAACACTGTTAGTTGAGGGCGCACATCACAAATAAGTTTCTGAGAATGCTGCTGTCTGCTTTTTATATGTAATCCCGTTTCCAACGAAATCCTCAAAGCTATCCAAATATCCTCTTGCAGATATTACAAAAAGAGTGTTTCAAAACTGCTCTATCAAAAGAAAGGTTCAACACTGTTAGTTGAGGGCGCACATCACAAATAAGTTTCTGAGAATGCTTCTGTCTAGTTTTCAGGGGAAGATATTTCCTTTTAAACCATAGGCCTGCAAACGCTCTAAATGTCCACATCCAGATACTACAAAAAGAGTGTTTCAAACCTGCTCTATGAAAGGGACTGTTCAACACTGTGACTTCAATTGAAACATCCCAATGAAGCTTCTGAGAATACTTCTGTCTAGAGTTTATATGAAGACAATCCCGTTTCCAACGAAATCCTCAAAGCTATCCAAATATCCTCTTGCAGATTTTACAAAAAGAGTGTTTCAAAACTGCTCTATCAAAAGAAAGTTTCAACACTGTTAGTTGAGGGCGCACATCACAAATAAGATTCTGAGTATGCTTCTGTCTAGTTTGCAGGGGAAGATATTTCCTTTTTCACCATAGGCCTGAGAGCGCTCCAAATGTCCACATCCAGATACTACAAAAAGAGTGTTTCAAACCTGCTCTATGAAAGGGAATGTTCAACTCTGTGACTTGAATGCAAACATCACAAAGAAGTTTCTGGGAATGCTGCTGTCTGCTTTTATATGTAATCCCGTTTCCAACGAAATCCTCAAACCTAGACAAATATCCACCTGCAGATCGAACAAAAAGAGTGTTTCAAAACTGCTCTCTCAAAAAAAAGGTTCAACTCTGTTAGCTGAGTAGATACATCATGAAAAAGTTTCTGACATTGCTTCTATCTAGCTTTTATTGGAAGATATTTCCTTTGTCACCGTATTCCTGAGATCTCTGCAAACGTCCACTTCCAGATACAACAAAAAGAGTGTATCAAACCTGCTGTATGAAAGGGACTGTTCAACACTGTGACTTCAATTGAAACATCCCAATGAAGCTTCTGAGAATGCTGCTGTCTGCTTTGTATAATTAATCCCGTTTCCAACGAAATCCTCAAAGCTATCCAAATATCCTCTTGCAGATATTACAAAAAGAGTGTTTCAAAACTGCTCTATCAAAAGAAAGCTTCAACACTGTTAGTTGAGGGCGCACATCACAAATAAGTTTCTGAGAATGCTGCTGTCTGCTTTTTATATGTAATCCCGTTTCCAACGAAATCCTCAAAGCTAGACAAATATCCACTTGCAGATTCCACAAAAAGAGTGTTTCAAAACTGCTCTATCAAAAGAAAGCTTCAACACTGTTAGTTGAGGGCGCACATCACAAATAAGTTTCTGAGAATGCTTCTGTCTAGTTTTCAGGGGAAGATATTTCCTTTTAAACTATAGGCCTGCAAAAGCTCCAAATGTCCACATCCAGATACTACAAAAAGAGTGTTTCAAACCTGCTCTATGAAAGGGACTGTTCAACACTGTGACTTCAATTGAAACATCCCAATGAAGCTTCTGAGAATTCTTCTGTCTAGAGTTTATATGAAGACAATCCCGTTTCCAACGAAATCCTCAAAGCTATCCAAATATCCTCTTGCAGATTTTACAAAAAGAGTGTTTCAAAACTGCTCTATCAAAAGAAAGCTTCAACACTGTTAGTTGAGGGCGCACATCACAAATAAGATTCTGAGAATGCTTCTGTCTAGTTTTCAGGGGAAGATATTTCCTTTTTCACCATAGGCCTGAAAGCGCTCCAAATGTCCACATCCAGATACTACAAAAAGAGTGTTTCAAACCTGCTCTATGAAAGGGAATGTTCAACTCTGTGACTTGAATGCAAACATCACAAAGAAGTTTCTGGGAATGCTGCTGTCTGCTTTTTATATGTAATCCCGTTTCCAACGAAATCCTCAAAGCTAGAAAAATATCCACTTGCAGATTCCACAAAAAGAATGTTTCAAAACTGCTCTCTCAAAAGAAAGTTTCAACTCTGTTAGCTGAGTAGATACATCATGAAAGTGTTTCTGACATTGCTTCTATCTAGCTTTTATTGGAAGATATTTCCTTTTTCACCGCAGTCCTGAGAGCGTTCCAAATGTCCACTTCCAGATACTACAAAAAGAGTGTTTCAAACCTGCTCTATGAAAGGGACTGTTCAACACTGTGACTTCAATTGAAACATCCCAATGAAGCTTCTGAGAATGCTTCTGTCTAGAGTTTATATGAAGACAATCCCGTTTCCAACGAAATCCTCAAAGCTATCCAAATATCCTCTTGCAGATTTTACGAAAAGAGTGTTTCAAAACTGCTCTATCAAAAGAAAGCTTCAACACTGTCAGTTGAGGGCGCACATCACAAATAAGATTCTGAGAATGCTGCTGTCTGCTTTTTATATGTAATCCCGTTTCCAACGAAATCCTCAAAGCTAGACAAACATCCACTTGCAGATTCCACAAAAAGAGTGTTTCAAAACTGCTCTATCAAAAGAAAGCTTCAACACTGTTAGTTGAGGGCGCACATCACAAATAAGTTTCTGAGAATGCTTCTGTCTAGTTTTCAGGGGAAGATATTTCCTTTTAAACCATAGGCCTGAAAGCGCTCCAAATGTCCACATCCAGATACTACAAAAAGAGTGTTTCAAACCTGCTCTATGAAAGGGACTGTTCAACACTGTGACTTCAATTCAAACATCCCAATGACGCTTCTGAGAATGCTTCTGTCTAGAGTTTATATGAAGACAATCCCGTTTCCAACGAAATCCTCAAAGCTATCAAAATATCCTCTTGCAGATTTTACGAAAAGAGTGTTTCAAAACTGCTCTATCAAAAGAAAGCTTCAACACTGTTAGTTGAGGGCGCACATCACAAATAAGATTCTGAGAAAGCTTCTGTCTAGTTTTCGGGGAAGATATTTCCTTTTTCACCTTATGCCTGAAAGCGCTGCAAATGTCCACATCCAGATACTACAAAAAGAGTGTTTCAAACCTGCTCTATGAAAGGGAATGTTCAACTCTGTGACTTGAATGCAAACATCACAAAGAAGTTTCTGGGAATGCTGCTGTCTGCTTTTTATATGTAATCCCGTTTCCAACGAAATCCTCAAAGCTAGACAAATTTCCACTTGCAGATTCCACAAAAAGAGTGTTTCAAAACTGCTCTCTCAAAGGAAAGGTTCAACTCTGTTAGCTGAGTAGATACATCATGAAAAAGTTTCTGACATTGCTTCTATCTAGCTTTTATTGGAAGATATTTCCTTTTTCACCGCAGTCCTGAGAGCGCTCCAAATGTCCACTTCCAGATACTACAAAAAGAGTGTTTCAAACCTGCTCTATGAAAGGGACTGTTCAACACTGTGACTTCAACTGAAACATCCCAATGAAGCTTCTGAGAATGCTTCTGTCTAGAGTTTATATGAAGACAATCCCGTTTCCAACGAAATCCTCAAAGCTATCCAAATATCCTCTTGCAGATATTACAAAAAGAGTGTTTCAAAACTGCTCTATCAAAAGAAAGGTTCAACACTGTTAGTTGAGGGCGCACATCACAAATAAGTTTACTGAGAATGCTGCTGTCTGCTTTTTATATGTAATCCCGTTTCCAACGAAATCCTCAAAGCTAGACAAACATCCACTTGCAGATTCCACAAAAAGAGTGTTTCAAAACTGCTCTATCAAAAGAATGCTTCAACACTGTTAGTTGAGGGCGCACATCACAAATAAGTTTCTGAGAATGCTTCTGTCTAGTTTTCAGGGGAAGATATTTCCTTTTAAACCATAGGCCTGAAAGCGCTCCAAATGTCCACATCCAGATACTACAAAAAGAGTGTTTCAAACCTGCTCTATGAAAGGGACTGTTCAACACTGCAACTTCAATTGAAACATCCCAATGAAGCTTCTGAGAATGCTTCTGTCTAGAGTTTATATGAAGACAATCCCGTTTCCAACGAAATCCTCAAAGCTATCCAAATATCCTCTTGCAGATTTTACAAAAAGAGTGTTTCAAAACTGCTCTATCAAAAGAAAGCTTCAACACTGTTAGTTGAGGGCGCACATCACAAATAAGTTTGCTGAGAATGCTTTCTGTCTAGTTTTCAGGGGAAGATATTTCCTTTTTCACCATAGGCCTGAAAGCGCTCCAAATGTCCACATCCAGATACTACAAAAAGAGTGTTTCAAACCTGCTCTATGAAAGGGAATGTTCAACTCTGTGACTTGAATGCAAACGTCACAAAGAAGTTTCTGGGAATGCTTCTGTCTAGAGTTTATATGAACACAATCCCGTTTCCAACGAAATCCTCAAAGCTATCCAAATATCCTCTTGCAGATTTTACAAAAAGAGTGTTTCAAAACTGCTCTCTCAAAAGAAAGGTTCAACTCTGTTAGCTGAGTAGATACATCATGAAAAAGTTTCTGACATTGCTTCTATCTAGCTTTTATTGGAAGATATTTCCTTTTTCACCGCAGTCCTGAGAGCGCTCCAAATGTCCACTTCCAGATACTACAAAAAGAGTGTTTCAAACCTGCTCTATGAAAGGGACTGTTCAACACTGTGACTTCAATTGAAACATCCCAATGAAGCTTCTGAGAATGCTTCTGTCTAGAGTTTATATGAAGACAATCCCGTTTCCAACGAAATCCTCAAAGCTATCCAAATATCCTCTTGCAGATATTACAAAAAGAGTGTTTCAAAACTGCTCTATCAAAAGAAAGGTTCAACACTGTTAGTTGAGGGCGCACATCACAAATAAGTTTACTGAGAATGCTGCTGTCTGCTTTTTATATGTAATCCCGTTTCCAACGAAATCCTCAAAGCTAGACAAATATCCACTTGCAGATTCCACAAAAAGAGTGTTTCAAAACTGCTCTATCAAAAGAAAGCTTCAACACTGTTAGTTGAGGGCGCACATCACAAATAAGTTTCTGAGAATGCTTCTGTCTAGTTTTCAGGGGAAGATATTTCCTTTTAAACCATAGGCCTGAAAGCGCTCCAAATGTCCACATCCAGATACTACAAAAAGAGTGTTTCAAACCTGCTCTATGAAAGGGACTGTTCAACACTGTGACTTCAATTGAAACATCCCAATGAAGCTTCTGAGAATGCTTCTGTCTAGAGTTTATATGAAGACATTCCCGTTTCCAACGAAATCCTCAAAGCTATCCAAATATCCTCTTGCAGATATTACAAAAAGAGTGTTTCAAAACTGCTCTATCAAAAGAAAGGTTCAACAGTGTTAGTTGAGGGCGCACATCACAAATAAGTTTCTGAGAATGCTTCTGTCTAGTTTTCAGGGGAAGATATTTCCTTTTTCACCATAGGCCTGAAAGCGCTCCAAATGTCCACATCCAGATACTACAAAAAGAGTGTTTCAAACCTGCTCTATGAAAGGGAATGTTCAACTCTGTGACTTGAATGCAAACATCACAAAGAAGTTTCTGGGAATGCTGCTGTCTGCTTTTTATATGTAATCCCGTTTCCAACGAAATCCTCAAAGCTAGACAAATATCCACTTGCAGATTCCACAAAAAGAGTGTTTCAAAACTGCTCTCTCAAAAGAAAGGTTCAATTCTGTTAGCTGAGTAGATACATCATGAAAAATTTTCTGACATTGCTTCTGTCTAGTTTTCAGGAGAAGATATTTCCTTTTTCACCATAGGCCTGAAAGCGCTCCAAATGTCCACCTCCAGATACTATAAAAAGAGTGTTTCAAACCTGCTCTCTGAAAGGGAATGTTCAACTCTGTGACTTGAATGCAAACATCACAAACAAGATTCTGGGACATGCTGCTGTCTGCTTTGTATAATTAATCCCGTTTCCAACGAAATCCTCAAAGCTATCCAAATATCCTCTTGCAGATATTACAAAAAGAGTGTTTCAAAACTGCTCTATCAAAAGAAAGCTTCAACACTGTTAGTTGAGGGCGCACATCACAAATAAGTTTCTGAGAATGCTGCTGTCTGCTTTTTATAATTAATCCCGTTTCCAACGAAATCCTCAAAGCTATCCAATTATCCTCTTGCAGATATTACAAAAAGAGTGTTTCAAAACTGCTCTATCAAAAGAAAGCTTCAACACTGTTAGTTGAGGGCGCACATCACAAATAAGTTTCTGAGAATGCTTCTGTCTAGTTTTCAGGGGAAGATATTTCCTTTTAAACCATAGGCCTGAAAGCGCTCCAAATGTCCACATCCAGATACTACAAAAAGAGTGTTTCAAACCTGCTCTATGAAAGGGACTGTTCAACACTGTAACTTCAATTGAAACATCCCAATGAAGCTTCTGAGAATGCTTCTGTCTAGAGTTTATATGAAGACAATCCCGTTTCCAACGAAATCCTCAAAGCTATCCAAATATCCTCTTGCAGATATTACAAAAAGAGTGTTTCAAAACTGCTCTATCAAAAGAAAGCTTCAACACTGTTAGTTGAGGGCGCACATCACAAATAAGTTTCTGAGAATGTTTCTGTCTAGTTTTCAGGGGAAGATATTTCCTTTTTCACCTTAGGCCTGAAAGCGCTGCAAATGTCCACAACCAGATACTACAAAAAGAGTGTTTCAAACCTGCTCTATGAAAGGGAATGTTCAACTCTGTGACTTGAATGCAAACATCACAAAAAAGTTTCTGGGAACGCTGCTGTCTGGTTTTTATATGTAATCCCGTTTCCAACGAAATCCTCAAAGGTAGACAAATATCCACTTGCAGATTCCACAAAAAGAGTGTTTTAAAACTGCTCTCTCAAAAGAAAGGTTCAACTCTGTTAGCTGAGTAGATACATCATGAAAAAGTTTCTGACATTGCTTCTATCTAGCTTTATTTGGAAGATATTTCCTTTTTCACCGTAGTCCTGAGAGCGCTCCAAATGTCCACTTCCAGATACTACAAAAAGATTGTTTCAAACATGCTCTATGAAAGGGACTGTTCAACACTGTGACTTCAATTGAAACATCCCAATGAAGCTTCTGAGAATGCTTATGTCTAGAGTTTATATGAAGACAATCCCGTTTCCAACGAAATCCTGAAAGCTATCCAAATATCCTCTTGCAGATATTACAAAAAGAGTGTTTCAAAACTGCTCTATCAAAAGAAAGCTTCAACACTGTTAGTTGAGGGCGCCCATCACAAATAAGTTTCGGAGAATGCTTAGCTGTCTGCTTTTTATATGTAATCCCGTTTCCAACGAAATCCTCAAAGCTAGACAAATATCCACGTGCAGATTCCACAAAAAGAGTGTTTCAAAACTGCTCTATCAAGAGAAAGCTTCAACACTGTTAGTTGAGGGCGCACATCACAAATAAGTTTCTGAGAATGCTTCTGTCTAGTTTTCAGGGGAAGATATTTCCTTTTAAACCATAGGCCTGAAAGCGCTCCAAATGTCCACATCCAGATACTACAAAAAGAGTGTTTCAAACCTGCTCTATGAAAGGGACTGTTCAACACTGTGACTTCAATTGAAACATCCCAATGAAGCTTCTGAGAATGCTTCTGTCTAGAGTTTATATGAAGACAATCCCGTTTCCAATGAAATCCTCAAAGCTATCCAAATATCCTCTTGCAGATTTTACAAAAAGAGTGTTTCAAAACTGCTCTATCAAAAGAAAGGTTCAACACTGTTAGTTGAGGGCGCACATCACAAATAAGTTTCTGAGAATGCTTCTGTCTAGTTTTCAGGAGAAGATATTTCCTTTTTCACCATAGGCCTGAAAGCGCTCCAAATGTCCACATCCAGATACTACAAAAAGAGTGTTTCAAACCTGCTCTATGAAAGGGAATGTTCAACTCTGTGACTTGAATGCAAACATCACAAAGAAGTTACTGGGAATGCTGCTGTCTGCTTTTTATATGTAATACCGTTTCCAACGCAATCCTCAAAACTACACAAATATCCACTTGCAGATTCCACAAAAAGAGTGTTTCAAAACTACTCTCTCCAAAGAAACGTTCAACTCTGTTAGCTGAGTAGATACATCATGAAAAATTTTCTGACATTGCTTCTATCTAGCTTTTATTGGAAGATATTTCCTTTATCACCGTATTCCTGAGATCTCTCCAAATGTCCACTTCCAGATACTACAAAAAGTGTGTTTCAAACCTGCTCTATGAAAGGGACTGTTCAACACTGTGACTTCAATTGAAACATCCCAATGAAGCTTCTGAGAATGCTTCTGTCTAGAGTTTATATGAAGACAATCCCGTTTCCAACGAAATCCTCAAAGCTATCCAAATATCCTCTTGCAGATTTTACAAAAAGAGTGTTTCAAAACTTCTCTATCAAAAGAAAGCTTCAACACTGTTAGTTGAGGGCGCACATCACAAATAAGATTCTGAGAATGCTGCTGTCTGCTTTTTATATGTAATCCCGTTTCCAACGAAATCCTCAAAGCTAGACAAACATCCACTTGCAGATTCCACAAAAAGAGTGTTTCAAATCTGCTCTATCAAAAGAAAGCTTCAACACTGTTAGTTGAGGGCGCACATCACAAATAAGTTTCTGAGAATGCTTCTGTCTAGTTTTCAGGGGAAGATATTTCCTTTTTCACCATAGGCCTGAAAGCGCTCCAAATGTCCACATCCAGATACTACAAAAAGAGTGTTTCAAACCTGCTCTATGAAAGGGACTGTTCAACACTGTGACTTCAATTGAAACATCCCAATGAAGCTTCTGAGAATGCTTCTGTCTAGAGTTTATATGAAGACAATCCCGTTTCCAACGAAATCCTCAAAGCTATCCAAATATCCTCTTGCAGATTTTACGAAAAGAGTGTTTCAAAACTGCTCTATCAAAAGAAACCTTCAACACTGTTAGTTGAGGGCGCACATCACAAATAAGATTCTGACAATGCTTCTGTCTAGTTTTCAGGGGAAGATATTTCCTTTTTCACCATAGGCCTGAAAGCGCTCCAAATGTCCACATCCAGATACTACAAAAAGAGTGTTTCAAACCTGCTCTATGAAAGGGAATGTTCAAGTCTGTGACTTGAATGCAAATATCACAAAGAAGTTTCTGGGAATGCTGCTGTCTGCTTTTTATATGTAATCCCGTTTCCAACGAAATCCTCAAAGCTAGACAAATATCCACTTGCAGATTCCACAAAAAGAGTGTTTCAAAACTGTTCTCTCAAAAGAAAGGTTCAACTCTGTTAGCTGAGTAGATACATCATGAAAAAGTTTCTGACATTGCTTCTATGTAGCTTTTATTGGAAGATATTTCCTTTTTCACCATAGTCCTGAGAGCGCTCCAAATGTCCACTTCCAGATACTACAAAAAGAGTGTTTCAAACCTGTTCTATGAAAGGAACTGTTCAACACTGTGACTTCAATTGAAACATCCCAATGAAGCTTCTGAGAATGCTTCTGTCTAGAGTTTATATGAAGACAATCCCGTTTCCAACGAAATCCTCAAAGCTATCCAAATATCCTCTTGCAGATATTACAAAAAGAGTGTTTCAAAACTGCTCTATCAAAAGAAAGCTTCAACACTGCTAGTTGAGGGCGCACATCACAAATAAGTTTCTGAGAATGCTTCTGTCTAGTTTTAAGGGGAAGATATTTCCTTTTTCACCATAGGCCTGAAAGCGCTCCAAATGTCCACATACAGATACTACAAAAAGTGTGTTTCAAACCTGCTCTATGAAAGGGAATGTTCAAATCTGTGACTTGAATGCAAACATCACAAAGAAGTTTCTGGGAATGCTGCTGTCTGCTTTTTATATGTAATCCCGTTTCCAACGAAATCCTCAAAGCTAGACAAATATCCACTTGCAGATTCCACAAAAAGAGTGTTTCAAAACTGCTCTCTCAAAGGAAGGTTCAACTCTGTTAGCTGAGTAGATACATCATGAAAAAGTTTCTGACATTGCTTCTATCTAGCTTTTATTGGAAGATATTTCATTTATCACTGTATTCCTGAGATCTCTCCAAATGTCCACTTCCAGATACTACAAAAAGAGTGTTTCAAACCTGCTCTATGAAAGGGACTGTTCAACACTGTGACTTCAATTGAAACATCCCAATGAAGCTTCTGAGAATGCTTCTGTCTGGAGTTTATATGAAGACAATCCCGTTTCCAACGAAATCCTCAAAGCTATCCAAATATCGTCTTGCAGATTTTACAAAAAGAGTGTTTCAAAACTGCTCTATCAAAAGAAAGCTTCAACACTGTTAGTTGAGGGCGCACATCACAAATAAGATTCTGAGAATGCTGCTGTCTGCTTTTTATATGTAATCCCGTTTCCAACGAAATCCTCAAAGCTAGACAAATATACACTTGCAGATTCCACAAAAAGAGTGTTTCAAAACTGCTGTATCAAAAGAAAGCTTCAACACTGTTAGTTGAGGGCGCACATCACAAATAAGTTTCTGAGAATGCTTCTGTCTAGTTTTCAGGGGAAGATATTTCCTTTTTCACCATAGGCCTGAAAGCGCTCCAAATGTCCACATCCAGATACTACAAAAAGAGTGTTTCAAACCTGCTCTATGAAAGGGACTGTTCAACACTGTGACTTCAATTGAAACATCCCAATGAAGCTTCTGAGAATGCTTCTGTCTAGATTTTGTATGAAGACAACCCCGTTTCCAACGAAATCCTCAAAGCTATCCAAATATCCTCTTGCAGATTTTACAAAAAGAGTGTTTCAAAACTGCTCTATCAAAAGAAAGCTTCAACACTGTTAGTTGAGGGCGCACATCACAAATAAGATTCTGAGAATGCTTCTGTGTAGTTTTCAGGGGAAGATATTTCCTTTTTCACCATAGGTCTGAAAGCGCTCCAAATGTCCATATCCAGATACTACAAAAATAGTGTTTCAAACCTGCTCTATGAAAGGGAATGTTGAACTCTGTGACTTGAATGCAAACATCACAAAGAAATTTCTGGGAATGCTGCTGTCTGCTTTTTATATGTAATCCCGTTTCCAACGAAATCCTCAATGCTAGACAAATATCCACTTGCAGATTCCACAAAAAGAGTGTTTCAAAACTGCTCTCTCAAAGGAAAGGTTCAACTCTGTTAGCTGAGTAGATACATCATGAAAAAGTTTCTGACATTGCTTCTATGTAGCTTTTATTGGAAGATATTTCCTTTTTCACCGCAGTCCTGAGAGCGCTCCAAATGTCCACTTCCAGATACTACAAAAAGAGTGTTTCAAACCTGCTCTATGAAAGGGACTGTTCAACACTGTGACTTCAATTGAAACATCCCAATGAAGCTTCTGAGAATGCTGCTGTCTGCTTTGTATAATTAATCCCGTTTCCAACGAAATCCTCAAAGCTATCCAAATATCCTCTTGCAGATATTACAAAAAGAGTGTTTCAAAACTGCTCTATCAAAAGAAAGCTTCAACACTGTTAGTTGAGGGCGCACATCACAAATAAGTTTCTGAGAATGCTGCTGTCTGCTTTTTATATGTAATCCCGTTTCCAACGAAATCCTCAAAGCTAGACAAATATCCACTTGCAGATTCCACAAAAAGAGTGTTTCAAAACTGCTCTATCAAAAGAAAGCTTCAACACTGTTAGTTGAGGGCGCACATCACAAATAAGTTTCTGAGAATGCTTCTGTCTAGTTTTCAGGGGAAGATATTTCCTTTTTCACCGTAGGCCTGAAAGCGCTCCAAATGTCCACATCCAGATACTACAAAAAGAGTGTTTCAAACCTGCTCTATGAAAGGGACTGTTCAACACTGTGACTTCAATTGAAACATCCCAATGAAGCTTCTGAGAATGCTTCTGTCTAGAGTTTACATGAAGACAATACCGTTTCCAACGAAATCCTCAAAGCTATCCAAATATCCTCTTGCAGATATTACAAAAAGAGTGTTTCAAAACTGCTCTATCAAAAGAAAGGTTCAACACTGTTAGTTGAGGGCGCACATCACAAATAAGTTTCTGAGAATGCTTCTGTCTAGTTTTCAGGGGAAGATATTTCCTTTTTCACCTTAGGCCTGAAAGCGCTGCCAATGTCCACATCCAGATACTACAAAAAGAGTGTTTCAAACCTGCTCTATGAAAGGGAATGTTCAACTCTGTGACTTGAATGCAAACATCACAAAGAAGTTTCTGGGAATGCTGCTGTCTGCTTTTTATATGTAATCCCGTTTCCAACGAAATCCTCAAAGATAGACAAATATCCACTTGCAGATTCCACAAAAAGAGTGTTTCAAAACTGCTCTCTCAAAAGAAAGGTTCAACTCTGTTAGCTGAATAGATACATCATGAGAAATTTTCTGACATTGCTTCTATCTAGCTTTATTTGGAAGATATTTCCTTTTTCACCGTAGTCCTGAGAGCGCTCCAAATGTCCACTTCCAGATACTACAAAAAGATTGTTTCAAACATGCTCTATGAAAGGGACTGTTCAACACTGTGACCTCAATTGAAACATCCCAATGAAGCTTCTGAGAATGCTGCTGTCTGCTTTGTATAATTAATCCCGTTTCCAACGAAATCCTCAAAGCTATCCAAATATCCTCTTGCAGATATTACAAAAAGAGTGTTTCAAAACTGCTCTATCAAAAGAAAGCTTCAACACTGTTAGTTGAGGGCGCACATCACAAATAAGTTTCTGAGAATGCTGCTGTCTGCTTTTTATATGTAATCCCGTTTCCAACGAAATCCTCAAAGCTAGACAAATATCCACTTGCAGATTCCACAAAAAGAGTGTTTCAAAACTGCTCTATCAAAAGAAAGCTTCAACACTGTTAGTTGAGGGCGCACATCACAAATAAGTTTCTGAGAATGCTTCTGTCTAGTTTTCAGGGGAAGATATTTCCTTTTTCACCATAGGCCTGAAAGCGCTCGAAATGTCCACATCCAGATACTACAAAAAGAGTGTTTCAAACCTGCTCTATGAAAGGGACTGTTCAACACTGTGACTTCAATTGAAACATCCCAATGAAGCTTCTGAGAATGCTTCTGTCTAGAGTTTATATGAAGACAATCCCGTTTCCAACGAAATCCTCAAAGCTATCCAAATATCCTCTTGCAGATTTTACAAAAAGAGTGTTTCAAAACTGCTCTATCAAAAGAAAGCTTCAACTCTGTTAGTTGAGGGCGCACATCACAAATAAGATTCTGAGAATGCTTCTGTCTAGTTTTCAGGGGAAGATATTTCCTTTTTCACCATAGGCCTGAAAGCGCTCCAAATGTCCACATACAGATACTACAAAAAGAGTGTTTCAAACCTGCTCTATGAAAGGGAATGTTCAACTCTGTGACTTGAATGCAAACTTCACAAAGAAGTTTCTGGGAATGCTGCTGTCTGCTTTTTATATGTAATCCCGTTTCCAACGAAATCCTCAAAACTAGACAAATATCCACTTGCAGATTCCACAAAACGAGTGTTTCAAAACTGCTCTCTCAAATGAAGGTTCAACTCTGTTAGCTGAGTAGATACATCATGAAAAAGTTTCTGACATTGCTTCTATCTAGCTTTTATTGGAAGATATTTCCTTTTTCACCGCAGTCCTGAGAGCGCTCCAAATGTCCACTTCCAGATACTACAAAAAGAGTGTTTCAAACCTGCTCTATGAAAGGGACTGTTCAACACTGTGACTTTAATTGAAACATCCCAATGAAGCTTCGGAGAATGCTTCTGTCTAGATTCTATATGAAGACAATCCCGTTTCCAACGAAATCCTCAAAGCTATCCAAATATCCTCTTGCAGATTTTACAAAAAGAGTGTTTCAAAACTGCTCTATCAAAAGAAAAGTTCCACACTGTTAGTTGAGGGCGCACATCACAAATAAGTTTGCTGAGAATGCTGCTGTCTGCTTTTTATAATTAATCCCGTTTCCAACGAAATCCTCAAAGCTATCCAAATGTCCTCTTGCAGATATTACAAAAAGAGTGTTTCAAAACTGCTCTATCAAAAGAAAGCTTCAACACTGTTAGTTGAGGGCGCACATCACAAATAAGTTTCTGAGAATGCTTCTGTCTAGTTTTCAGGGGAAGATATTTCCTTTTAAACCATAGGCCTGAAAGCGCTCCAAATGTCCACATCCAGATACTACAAAAAGAGTGTTTCAAACCTGCTCTATGAAAGGGACTGTTCAACACTGTGACTTCAATTGAAACATCCCAATGACGCTTCTGAGAATGCTTCTGTCTAGAGTTTATATGAAGACAATCCCGTTTCCAAAGAAATCCTCAAAGCTATCCAAATATCCTCTTGCAGATATTACAAAAAGAGTGTTTCAAAACTGCTCTATCAAAAGAAAGGTTCAACACTGTTAGTTGAGGGCGCACATCACAAATAAGTTTCTGAGAATGCTTCTGTCTAGTTTTCAGGGGAAGATATTTCCTTTTTCACCATAGGCCTGAAAGCGCTCCAAATGTCCACATCCAGATACTGCAAAAAGAGTGTTTCAAACCTGCTCTATGAAAGGGAATGTTCAACTCTGTGACTTGAATGCAAACATCACAAAGAAGTTACTGGGAATGCTGCTGTCTGCTTTTTATATGTAATCCCGTTTCCAACGAAATCCTCAAAGCTAGACAAATATCCACTTGCAGATTCCACAAAAAGAGTGTTTCAAAACTGCTCTCTCAAAAGAAAGGTTCAACTCTGTTAGCTGAGTAGATACATTATGAAAAATTTTCTGACATTGCTTCTATCTAGCTTTTATTGGAAGATATTTCCTTTTTCACCGCAGTCCTGAGATCTCTCCAAATGTCCACTTCCAGATACTACAAAAAGAGTGTTTCAAACCTGCTCTATGAAAGGGACTGTTCAACACTGTGACTTCAATTGAAACATCCCAATGAAGCTTCTGAGAATGCTTCTGTCTAGATTTTATATGAAGACAATCCCGTTTCCAACGAAATCCTCAAAGCTATCCAAATATCCTCTTGCAGATTTTACAAAAAGAGTGTTTCAAAACTACTCTATGAAAAGAAAGGTTTAACACTGTTAGTTGAGGGCGCACATCACAAATAAGTTTCTGAGAATGCTGCTGTCTGCTTTTTATATGTAATCCCGTTTCCAACGAAATCCTCAAAGCTAGACAAATATCCACTTGCAGATTCCACAAAAAGAGTGTTTCAAAACTGCTCTATCAAAAGAATGCTACAACACTGTTAGTTGAGGGCGCACATCACAAATAAGTTTCTGAGAATGCTTCTGTCTAGTTTTCAGGGGAAGATATTTCCTTTTAAACCATAGGCCTGAAAGCGCTCCAAATGTCCACATCCAGATACTACAAAAAGAGTGTTTCAAACCTGCTCTATGAAAGGGACTGTTCAACACTGTGACTTCAATTGAAACATCCCAATGAAGCTTCTGAGAATGCTTCTGTCTAGAATTTATATGAAGACAAACCCGTTTCCAACGAAATCCTCAAAGCTATCCAAATATCCTCTTGCAGATATTACAAAAAGAGTGTTTCAAAACTGCTCTATCAAAAGAAAGCT
The DNA here is from genome assembly GCF_000001405.40 of Homo sapiens. Classification (NCBI taxonomy): domain Eukaryota; kingdom Metazoa; phylum Chordata; class Mammalia; order Primates; family Hominidae; genus Homo; species Homo sapiens. Next base: position 94,019,481 of record NC_000002.12, on the reverse strand, counting down.
TGAACACTGTTAGTTGAGGGCGCACATCACAAATAAGTTTCTGAGAATGCTTCTGTCTAGTTTTCATGGGAAGATATTTCCTTTTTCACCTTAGGCCTGAAAGCGCTGCAAATGTACACATCCAGATACTACAAAAAGAGTGTTTCAAACCTGCTCTATGAAAGGGAATGTTCAACTCTGTGACTTGAATGCAAACATCACAAAGAAGTTTCTCGGAATGCTGCTGTCTGCTTTCTATATGTAATCCCGTTTCCAACGAAATCCTCAAAGCTAGACAAATATCCACTTGCAGATTCCACAAAAATAGTGTTTCAAAACTGCTCTCACAAAAGAAAGGTTCAACTCTGTTAGCTGAATAGATACATCATGAGAAATTTTCTGACATTGCTTCTATCTAGCTTTTATTGGAAGATATTTCCTTTTTCACCGCAGTCCTGAGAGCGCTCCAAATGTCCACTTCCAGATCCTACAAAAAGAGTGTTTCAAACCTGCTCTATGAAAGGGACTGTTCAACACTGTGACTTCAATTGAAACATCCCAATGAAGCTTCTGAGAATGCTTCTGTCTAGAGTTTATATGAAGACAATCCCGTTTCCAACGAAATCCTCAAAGCTATCCAAATATCCTCTTGCAGATATTACAAAAAGAGTGTTTCAAAACTGCTCTATCAAAAGAAAGGTTCAACACTGTTAGTTGAGGGCGCACATCACAAATAAGTTTACTGAGAATGCTGCTGTCTGCTTTTTATATGTAATCCCGTTTCCAACGAAATCCTCAAATCTAGACAAATATCCACTTGCAGATTCCACAAAAAGAGTGTTTCAAAACTGCTCTATCAAAAGAATGCTTCAACACTGTTAGTTGAGGGCGCACATCACAAATAAGTTTCTGAGAATGCTTCTGTCTAGTTTTCAGGGGAAGATATTTCCTTTTTCACCATAGGGCTGAAAGCGCTCCAAATGTCCACATCCAGATACTACAAAAAGAGTGTTTCAAACCTGCTCTATGAAAGGGACTGTTCAACACTGTGACTTCAATTGAAACATCCCAATGACGCTTCTGAGAATGCTTCTGTCTAGAGTTTATATGAAGACAATCCCGTTTCCAACGAAATCCTCAAAGCTATCCAAATATCCTCTTGCAGATTTTACAAAAAGAGTGTTTCAAAACTGCTCTATCAAAAGAAAGCTTCAACTCTGTTAGTTGAGGGCGCACATCACAAATAAGATTCTGAGAATGCTTCTGTCTAGTTTTCAGGGGAAGATATTTCCTTTTTCACCATAGGCCTGAAAGCGCTCCAAATGTCCACATCCAGATACTACAAAAAGAGTGTTTCAAACCTGCTCTATGAAAGGGAATGTTCAACTCTGTGACTTGAATGCAAACATCACAAAGAAGTTACTGGGAATGCTGCTGTCTGCTTTTTATATGTAATCCCGTTTCCAACGAAATCCTCAAAGCTAGACAAATATCCACTTGCAGATTCCACAAAAAGAGTGTTTCAAAACTGCTCTCTCAAAGGAAAGGTTCAACTCTGTTAGCTGAGTAGATACATCACGAAAAAGTTTCTGACATTGCTTCTATCTAGCTTTTATTGGAAGATATTTCCTTTTTCACCGCAGTCCTGAGAGCGCTCCAAATGTCCACTTCCAGATACTACAAAAAGAGTGTTTCAAACCTGCTCTATGAAAGGGACTGTTCAACACTGTGACTTCAATTGAAACATCCCAATGAAGCTTCTGAGAATGCTGCTGTCTGCTTTGTATAATTAATCCCGTTTCCAACGAAATCCTCAAAGCTATCCAAATATCCTCTTGCAGATATTACAAAAAGAGTGTTTCAAAACTGCTCTATCAAAAGAAAGCTTCAACACTGTTAGTTGAGGGCGCACATCACAAATAAGTTTCTGAGAATGCTGCTGTCTGCTTTTTATATGTAATCCCGTTTCCAACGAAATCCTCAAAGCTAGACAAATATCCACTTGCAGATTCCACAAAAAGAGTGTTTCAAAACTGCTCTATCAAAAGAATGCTTCAACACTGTTAGTTGAGGGCGCACATCACAAATAAGTTTCTGAGAATGCTTCTGTCTAGTTTTCAGGGGAAGATATTTCCTTTTAAACCATAGGCCTGAAAGCGCTCCAAATGTCCACATCCAGATACTACAAAAAGAGTGTTTCAAACCTGCTCTATGAAAGGGACTGTTCAACACTGTGACTTCAATTGAAACATCCCAATGACGCTTCTGAGAATGCTTCTGTCTAGAGTTTATATGAAGACAATCCCGTTTCCAACGAAATCCTCAAAGCTAACAAAATATCCTCTTGCAGATTTTACGAAAAGAGTGTTTCAAAACTGCTCTATCAAAAGAAAGCTTCAACACTGTTAGTTGAGGGCGCACATCACAAATAAGATTCTGAGAATGCTTCTGTCTAGTTTTCAGGGGAAGATATTTCCTTTTTCACCATAGGCCTGAAAGCGCTCCAAATGTCCACATCCAGATACTACAAAAAGAGAGTTTCAAACCTGCTCTATGAAAGGGAATGTTCAACTCTGTGACTTGAATGCAAACATCACAAAGAAGTTACTGGGAATGCTGCTGTCTGCTTTTTATATGTAATCCCGTTTCCAATGAAATCCTCAAAGCTAGACAAATATCCACTTGCAGATTCCACAAAAAGAGTGTTTCAAAACTGCTCTCTCAAAGGAATGTTCAACTCTGTTAGCTGAGTAGATACATCATGAAAAAGTTTCTGACATTGCTTCTATGTAGCTTTTATTGGAAGATATTTCCTTTTTCACCGCAGTCCTGAGAGCGCTCCAAATGTCCACTTCCAGATACTACAAAAAGAGTGTTTCAAACCTGCTCTATGAAAGGGACTGTTCAACACTGTGACTTCAATTGAAACATCCCAATAAAGCTTCTGAGAATGCTTCTGTCTAGAGTTTACATGAAGACAATCCCGTTTCCAAAGAAATCCCCAAAGCTATCCAAATATCCTCTTGCAGATTTTACAAAAAGAGCGTTTCAAAACTGCTCTATCAAAAGAAAGCTTCAACACTGTTAGTTGAGGGCGCACATCACAAATAAGATTCTGAGAATGCTGCTGTCTGCTTTTTATATGTAATCCCGTTTCCAACGAAATCCTCAAAGCTAGACAAACATCCACTTGCAGATTCCACAAAAAGAGTGTTTCAAAACTGCTCTATCAAAAGAATGCTTCAACACTGTTAGTTGAGGGCGCACATCACAAATAAGTTTCTGAGAATGCTTCTATGTAGCTTTTATTGGAAGATATTTCCTTTTTCACCATAGTCCTGGGAGCGCTCCAAATGTCCACTTCCAGATACTACAAAAAGAGTGTTTCAAACCTGTTCTATGAAAGGGACTGTTCAACACTGTGACTTCAATTGAAACATCCCAATGAAGCTTCTGAGAATGCTTCTGTCTAGAGTTTATATGAAGACAATCCCGTTTCCAACGAAATCCTCAAAGCTATCCAAATATCCTCTTGCAGATATTACAAAAAGAGTGTTTCAAAACTGCTCTATCAAAAGAAAGCTTCAACACTGTTAGTTGAGGGCGCACATCACAAATAAGTTTCTGAGAATGCTTCTGTCTAGTTTTCAGGGGAAGATATTTCCTTTTTCACCATAGGCCTGAAAGCGCTCCAAATGTCCACATCCAGATACTACAAAAAGAGTGTTTCAAACCTGCTCTCTGAAAGGGAATGTTCAACTCTGTGACTTGAATGCAAACATCACAAAGAAGTTTCTGGGAATGCTGCTGTCTGCTTTTTATATGTAATCCCGTTTCCAACGAAATCCTCAAAGCTAGACAAATATCCACTTGCAGATTCCACAAAAAGAGTGTTTCAAAACTGCTCTCTCAAAAGAAAGGTTCAACTCTGTTAGCTGAGTAGATACATCATGAAAAAGTTTCTGACATTGCTTCTATGTAGCTTTTATTGGAAGATATTTCCTTTTTCACCGTATGCCTGAAAGCGATCCAAATGTCCACATCCAGATACTACAAAAAAAGTGTTTCAAACCTGCTCTATGAAAGGGAATGTTCAACTCTGTGACTTGAATGCAAACATCACAAAGAAGTTACTGGGAATGCTTCTGTCTAGAGTTTATATGAAGACAATCCCGTTTCCAACGAAATCCTCAAAGCTATCCAAATATCCTCTTGCAGATTTTACAAAAAGAGTGTTTCAAAACTGCTCTATCAAAAGAAAGCTTCAACACTGTTAGTTGAGGGCGCACATCACAAATAAGTTTGCTGAGAATGCTTTCTATCTAGCTTTTATTGGAAGATATTTCCTTTATCACCGTATTCCTGTGATCTCTCAAAATGTCCACATCCAGATACTACAAAAAGAGTGTTTCAAACCTGCTCTATGAAAGGGAATGTTCAACTACTGTCACTTGAATGCAAACCTCACAAAGAAGTTACTGGGAATGCTGGCTGTCTGCTTTTTATATGTAATCCCGTTTCCAACGAAATCCTCAAAGCTAGACAAATATCCACTTGCAGATTCCACAAAAAGAGTGTTTCAAAACTGCTCTCTCAAAAGAAAGGTTCAACTCTGTTAGCTGAGTAGATACATCATGAAAAAGTTTCTGACATTGCT
>NC_000002.12:93921814-94014745 GCF_000001405.40 Homo sapiens | reverse complement strand
CTTCTATCTAGCTTTTATTGGAAGATACTTCCTTTTTCACCGTAGTCCTCCCAACTCTACTAAAAATACAAAAAATTGGCTGGGCAAGGTGGTGTGCACCCGTAATCCTAGCTACTCAGGAAGCTGAGGCAGGAGAATCGCTTGAACCCGGGAGGTAGAGGTTGCAGTGAGCCGAGATTGCGATACTGCACTCCAGCCTGGGCAACAGAGCATGACTCTGTCTCAAAAAGCTGTCTGCTTTGTATAATTAATCCCGTTTCCAACGAAATCCTCAAAGCTATCCAAATATCCTCTTGCAGATATTACAAAAAGAGTGTTTCAAAACTGCTCTATCAAAAGAAAGCTTCAACACTGTTAGTTGAGGGCGCACATCACAAATAAGTTTCTGAGAATGCTGCTGTCTGCTTTTTATATGTAATCCCGTTTCCAACGAAATCCTCAAAGCTAGACAAATATCCACTTGCAGATTCCACAAAAAGAGTTTTTCAAAACTGCTCTATCAAAAGAATGCTTCAAAACTGTTAGTTGAGGGCGCACATCACAAATAAGTTTCTGAGAATGCTTCTGTCTAGTTTTCAGGGGAAGATATTTCCTTTTAAACCATAGGCCTGAAAGCGCTCCAAATGTCCACATCCAGATACTACAAAAAGAGTGTTTCAAACCTGCTCTATGAAAGGGAATGTTCAACACTGTGACTTCAATTGAAACATCCCAATGACGCTTCTGAGAATGCTTCTGTCTAGAGTTTATATGAAGACAATCCCGTTTCCAACGAAATCCTCAAAGCTATCCAAATATCCTCTTGCAGATATTACAAAAAGAGTGTTTCAAAACTGCTCTATCAAAAGAAAGCTTCAACACTGTTAGTTGAGGGCGCACATCACAAATAAGTTTCTGAGAATGCTTCTGTCTAGTTTTCAGGGGAAGATATTTCCTTTTTCACCATAGGCCTGAAAGCGCTCCAAATGTCCACATCCAGATATTACAAAAAGAGTGTTTCAAACGTGCTCTATGAAAGGGAATGTTCAACTCTGTGACTTGAATGCAAACATCACAAAGAAGATTACTGGGAATGCTGCTGTCTGCTTTTTATATGTAATCCCGTTTCCAACGAAATCCTCAAAGCTAGACAAATATCCACTTGCAGATTCCACAAAAGAGTGTTTCAAAACTGCTCTGTCAAAAGAAAGCTTCAACTCTGTTAGCTGAGTAGATACATCATGAAAAATTTTCTGACATTGCTTCTATGTAGCTTTTATTGGAAGATATTTCCTTTTTCACCGCAGTCCTGAGAGCGCTCGAAATGTCCACTTCCAGATACTACAAAAAGAGTGTTTCAAACCTGTTCTATGAAAGGGACTGTTCAACACTGTGACTTCAATTGAAACATCCCAATGAAGCTTCTGAGAATGCTTCTGTCTAGAGTTTATATGAAGACAATCCCGTTTCCAACGAAATCCTCAAAGCTATCCAAATATCCTCTTGCAGATATTACAAAAAGAGTGTTTCAAAACTGCTCTATCAAAAGAAAGGTTCAACACTGTTAGTTGAGGGCGCACATCACAAATAAGTTTACTGAGAATGCTGCTGTCTGCTTTTTATATGTAATCCCGTTTCCAACGAAATCCTCAAAGCTAGACAAATATCCACTTGCAGATTCCACAAAAAGAGTGTTTCAAAACTGCTCTATCAAAAGAAAGCTTCAACACTGTTAGTTGAGGGCGCACATCACAAATAAGTTTCTGAGAATGCTTCTGTCTAGTTTTCAGGGGAAGATATTTCCTTTTTCACCATATGCCTGAAAGCGCTCCAAATGTCCACATCCAGATACTACAAAAAGAGTGTTTCAAACCTGCTCTATGAAAGGGACTGTTCAACACTGTGACTTCAATTGAAACATCCCAATGAAGCTTCTGAGAATGCTTCTGTCTAGATTTTATATGAAGACAATCCCGTTTCCAACGAAATCCTGAAAGCTATCAAAATATCCTCTTGCAGATTTTACGAAAAGAGTGTTTCAAAACTGCTCTATCAAAAGAAAGCTTCAACACTGTTAGTTGAGGGTGCACATCACAAATAAGATTCTGAGAATGCTTCTGTCTAGTTTTCAGGGGAAGATATTTCCTTTTTCACCATAGGCCTGAAAGCGCTCCAAATGTCCACATACAGATACTACAAAAAGAGTGTTTCAAACCTGCTCTATGAAAGGGAATGTTCAACTCTGTGACTTGAATGCAAACTTCACAAAGAAGTTTACTGGGAATGCTGGCTGTCTGCTTTTTATATGTAATCCCGTTTCCAACGAAATCCTCAAAGCTAGACAAATATCCACCTGCAGATCCAACAAAAAGAGTGTTTCAAAACTGCTCTCTCAAAAAAAAGGTTCAACTCTGTTAGCTGAGTAGATACATCATGAAAAAGTTTCTGACATTGCTTCTATCTAGCTTTTATTGGAAGATATTTCCTTTTTCACCGTAGTCCTGAGAACGCTCCAAATGTCCACTTCCAGATACTACAAAAAGAGTGTTTCAAACCTGCTATATGAAAGGGACTGTTCAACACTGTGACTTCAGTTGAAACATCCCAATGAAGCTTCTGAGAATGCTTCTTTCTAGAGTTTATATGAAGACAATCCCGTTTCCAACGAAATCCTCAAAGCTATCCAAATATTCTCTTGCAGATATTACAAAAAGAGTGTTTCAAAACTGCTCTATCAAAATAAAGCTTCAACACTGTTAGTTGAGGGCGCACATCACAAATAAGTTTCTGAGAATGCTGCTGTCTGCTTTTTATAATTAATCCCGTTTCCAACGAAATCCTCAAAGCTATCCAAATATCCTCTTGCAGATATTACAAAAAGAGTGTTTCAAAACTGCTCTATCAAAAGAAAGGTTCAACACTGTTAGTTGAGGGCGCACATCACAAATAAGTTTCTGAGAATGCTTCTGTCTAGTTTTCAGGGGAAGATATTTCCTTTTTCACCATAGGCCTGAAAGCGCTCCAAATGTCCACATCCAGATACTACAAAAAGAGTGTTTCAAACCTGCTCTATGAAAGGGACTGTTCAACACTGTGACTTCAATTGAAACATCCCAATGAAGCTTCTGAGAATGCTTCTGTCTAGAGTTTATATGAAGACAATCCCGTTTCCAACGAAATCCTCAAAGCTATCCAAATATCCTCTTGCAGATTTTACAAAAAGAGTGTTTCAAAACTGCTCTATCAAAAGAAAGCTTCAACTCTGTTAGTTGAGGGCGCACATCACAAATAAGATTCTGAGAATGCTTCTGTCTAGTTTTCAGGGGAAGATATTTCCTTTTTCACCATAGGCCTGAAAGCGCTCCAAATGTCCACATCCAGATACTACAAAAAGAGTGTTTCAAACCTGCTGTATGAAAGGGAATGTTCAACTCTGTGACTTGAATGCAAACATCACAAAGAAGTTACTGGGAATGCTGCTGTCTGCTTTTTATATGTAATCCCGTTTCCAACGAAATCCTCAAAGCTAGACAAATATCCACTTGCAGATTCCACAAAAAGAGTGTTTCAAAACTGCTCTCTCAAAGGAAAGGTTCAACTCTGTTAGCTGAGTAGATACATCATGAAAAAGTTTCTGACATTGCTTCTATGTAGCTTTTATTGGAAGATATTTCCTTTTTCACCGCAGTCCTGAGAGCGCTCCAAATGTCCACTTCCAGATACTACAAAAAGAGTGTTTCAAACCTGCTCTATGAAAGGGACTGTTCAACACTGTGACTTCAATTGAAACATCCCAATGAAGCTTCTGAGAATGCTTCTGTCTAGATTCTATATGAAGACAATCCCGTTTCCAACGAAATCCTCAAAGCTATCCAAATATCCTCTTGCAGATTTTACAAAAAGAGTGTTTCAAAACTGCTCTATCAAAAGAAAAGTTCCACACTGTTAGTTGAGGGCGCACATCACAAATAAGTTTGCTGAGAATGCTGCTGTCTGCTTTTTATATGTAATCCCGTTTCCAACGAAATCCTCAAAGCTAGACAAACATCCACTTGCAGATTCCACAAAAAGAGTGTTTCAAAACTGCTCTATCAAAAGAAAGCTTCAACACTGTTAGTTGAGGGCGCACATCACAAATAAGTTTCTGAGAATGCTTCTGTCTAGTTTTCAGGGGAAGATATTTCCTTTTTCACCATAGGCCTGAAAGCGCTCAAATGTCCACATCCAGATACTACAAAAAGAGTGTTTCAAACCTGCTCTATGAAAGGGACTGTTCAACATTGTGACTTCAATTGAAACATCCCCATGATGCTTCTGAGAATGCTTCTGTCTAGAGTTTATATGAAGACAATCCCGTTTCCAAAGAAATCCTCAAAGCTATCCAAATATCCTCTTGCAGATATTACAAAAAGAGTGTTTCAAAACTGCTCTATCAAAAGAAAGGTTCAACACTGTTAGTTGAGGGCGCACATCACAAATAAGTTTCTGAGAATGCTTCTGTCTAGTTTTCAGGGGAAGATATTTCCTTTTTCACCATAGGACTGAAAGCGCTCCAAATGTCCACATCCAGATACTACAAAAAGAGTGTTTCAAACCTGCTCTATGAAAGGGAATGTTCAACTCGGTGACTTGAATGCAAACATCACAAAGAAGTTTCTGGGAATGCTGCTGTCTGCTTTTTATATGTAATCCCGTTTCCAACGAAATCCTCAAAGCTAGACAAATATCCACTTGCAGATTCCACAAAAAGAGTGTTTCAAAACGGCTCTCTCAAAACAAAGGTTCAACTCTGTTAGCTGAGTAGATACATCATGAAAAAGTTTCTGACATTGCTTCTATGTAGCTTTTATTGGAAGATATTTCCTTTTTCACCGTAGTCCTGAGAGCGCTCCAAATGTCCACTTCCAGATACTACAAAAAGAGTGTTTCAAACCTGCTCTATGAAAGGGACTGTTCAACACTGTGACTTCAATTGAAACATCCCAATGAAGCTTCTGAGAATGCTTCTGTCTAGAGTTTATATGAAGACAATCCCGTTTCCAACGAAATCCTCAAAGCTATCCAAATATCCTCTTGCAGATATTACAAAAAGAGTGTTTCAAAACTGCTCTATCAAAAGAAAGCTTCAACACTGTTCGTTGAGGGCGCACATCACAAATAAGATTCTGAGAATGCTGCTGTCTGCTTTTTATATGTAATCCCGTTTCCAACGAAATCCTCAAAGCTAGACAAATATCCACTTGCAGATTCCACAAAAAGAGTGTTTCAAAACTGCTCTATCAAAAGAAAGCTTCAACACTGTTAGTTGAGGGCGCACATCACAAATAAGTTTCTGAGAATGCTTCTGTCTAGTTTTCAGGGGAAGATATTTCCTTTTAAACCATAGGCCTGAAAGCGCTCCAAATGTCCACATCCAGATACTACAAAAAGAGTGTTTCAAACCTGCTCTATGAAAGGGAATGTTCAACACTGTGACTTCAATTGAAACATCCCAATGACGCTTCTGAGAATGCTTCTGTCTAGAGTTTATATGAAGACAATCCCGTTTCCAACGAAATCCTCAAAGCTATCCAAATATCCTCTTGCAGATTTTACAAAAAGAGTGTTTCAAAACTGCTCTATCAAAAGAAAGCTTCAACACTGTTAGTTGATGGCGCACATCACAAATAAGATTCTGAGAATTCTTCTGTCCAGTTTTCAGGGGAAGATATTTCCTTTTTCACCATAGGCCTGAAAGCGCTCCAAATGTCCACATCCAGATACTACAAAAAGAGTGTTTCAAACCTGCTCTATGAAAGGGAATGTTCAACTCTGTGACTTGAATGCAAACGTCACAAAGAAGTTACTGGGAATGCTGCTGTCTGCTTTTTATATGTAATCCCGTTTCCAACGAAATCCTCAAAGCTAGACAAATATCCACTTGCAGATTCCACAAAAAGAGTGTTTCAAAACTGCTCTCTCAAAAGAAAGGTTCAACTCTGTTAGCTGAGTAGATACATCATGAAAAAGTTTCTGACATTGCTTCTATCTAGCTTTTATTGGAAGATATTTCCTTTATCACCGTATTCCTGAGATCTCTCCAAATGTCCACTTCCAGATACTACAAAAAGAGTGTTTCAAACCTGCTCTATGAAAGGGACTGTTCAACACTGTGACTTCAATTGAAACATCCCAATGAAGCTTCTGAGAATGCTTCTTTCTAGAGTTTATATGAAGACAATCCCGTTTCCAACGAAATCCTCAAAGCTATCCAAATATTCTCTTGCAGATATTACAAAAAGAGTGTTTCAAAACTGCTCTATCAAAATAAAGCTTCAACACTGTTAGTTGAGGGCGCACATCACAAATAAGTTTCTGAGAATGCTGCTGTCTGCTTTTTATATGTAATCCCGTTTCCAACGAAATCCTCAAAGCTAGACAAATATCCACTTGCAGATTCCACAAAAAGAGTGTTTCAAAACTGCTCTATCAAAAGAAAGCTTCAACACTGTTAGTTGAGGGCGCACATCACAAATAAGTTTCTGAGAATGCTTCTGTCTAGTTTTCAGGGGAAGATACTTCCTTTTAAACCATAGGCCTGAAAGCGCTCCAAATGTCCACATCCAGATACTACAAAAAGAGTGTTTCAAACCTGCTCTATGAAAGGGAATGTTCAACACTGTGACTTCAATTGAAACATCCCAATGACGCTTCTGAGAATGCTTCTGTCTAGAGTTTATATGAAGACAATCCCGTTTCCAAAGAAATCCTCAAAGCTATCCAAATATCCTCTTGCAGATATTACAAAAAGAGTGTTTCAAATCTGCTCTATCAAAAGAAAGGTTCAACACTGTTAGTTGAGGGCGCACATCACAAATAAGTTTCTGAGAATGCTTCTGTCTAGTTTTCAGGGGAAGATATTTCCTTTTTCACCATAGGCCTGAAAGCGCTCCAAATGTCCACAACCAGATATTACAAAAAGAGTGTTTCAAACCTGCTCTATGAAAGGGAATGTTCAACTCTGTGACTTGAATGCAAACATCACAAAGAAGTTTCCTGGGAATGCTGCTGTCTGCTTTTTATATGTAATCCCGTTTCCAACGAAATCCTCAAAGCTAGACAAATATCCACTTGCAGATTCCACAAAAAGAGTGTTTCAAAACTGCTCTCTCAAAGGAAAGTTTCAACTCTGTTAGCTGAGTAGATACGTCATGAAAAAGTTTCTGACATTGCTTCTATGTAGCTTTTATTGGAAGATATTTCCTTTTTCACCGTAGTCCTGAGAGCGCTCCAAATGTCCACTTCCAGATACTACAAAAAGAGTGTTTCAAACGTGTTCTATGAAAGGAACTGTTCAACACTGTGACTTCAATTGAAACATCCCAATGAAGCTTCTGAGAATGCTGCTGTCTGCTTTGTATAATTAATCCCGTTTCCAACGAAATCCTCAAAGCTATCCAAATATCCTCTTGCAGATATTACAAAAAGAGTGTTTCAAAACTGCTCTATCAAAAGAAAGCTTCAACACTGTTAGTTGAGGGCGCACATCACAAATAAGTTTCTGAGAATGCTGCTGTCTGCTTTTTATATGTAATCCCGTTTCCAACGAAATCCTCAAAGCTAGACAAATATCCACTTGCAGATTCCACAAAAAGAGTGTTTCAAAACTGCTCTATCAAAAGAAAGCTTCAACACTGTTAGTTGAGGGCGCACATCACAAATAAGTTTCTGAGAATGCTTCTGTCTAGTTTTCAGGGGAAGATATTTCCTTTTAAACCATAGGCCTGAAAGCGCTCCAAATGTCCACATCCAGATACTACAAAAAGAGTGTTTCAAACCTGCTCTATGAAAGGGAATGTTCAACACTGTGACTTCAATTGAAACATCCCAATGACGCTTCTGAGAATGCTTCTGTCTAGAGTTTATGTGAAGACAATCCCGTTTCCAACGAAATCCTCAAAGCTATCCAAATACCCTCTTGCAGATATTACAAAAAGAGTGTTTCAAAACTGCTCTATCAAAAGAAAGCTTCAACACTGTTAGTTGAGGGCGCACATCACAAATAAGATTCTGAGAATGCTTCTGTCTAGTTTTCAGGAGAAGATATTTCCTTTTTCACCACAGGCCTGAAAGCGCTCCAAATGTCCACATCCAGATACTATAAAAAGAGTGTTTCAAACCTGCTCTATGAAAGGGAATGTTCAACTCTGTGACTTGAATGCAAACATCACAAAGAAGATTGCTGGGAATGCTGCTGTCTGCTTTTTATATGTAATCCCGTTTCCAACGAAATCCTCAAAGCTAGACAAATATCCACTTGCAGATTCCACAAAAAGAGTGTTTCAAAACTGCTCTCTCAAAAGAAAGGTTCAACTCTGTTAGCTGAGTAGATACATCATGAAAAAGTTTCTGACATTGCTTCTATCTAGCTTTTATTGGAAGATATTTCCTTTATCACCGTATTCCTGAGAACTCTCCAAATGTCCACTTCCAGATACTACAAAAAGAGTGTTTCAAACCTGCTCTATGAAAGGGACTGTTCAACACTGTGACTTCAATTGAAACATCCCAATGAAGCTTCTGAGAATGCTTCTGTCTAGAGTTTATATGAAGACAATCCCGTTTCCAACGAAATCCTCAAAGCTATCCAAATATCCTCTTGCAGATTTTACGAAAAGAGTGTTTCAAAACTGCTCTATCAAAAGAAAGCTTCAACACTGTTAGTTGAGGGCGCTAATCACAAATAAGATTCTGAGAATGCTGCTGTCTGCTTTTTATATGTAATCCCGTTTCCAACGAAATCCTCAAAGCTATCCAAATATCCTCTTGCAGATATTACAAAAAGAGTGTTTCAAAACTGCTCTATCAAAAGAAAGGTTCAACACTGTTAGTTGAGGGCTCACATCACAAATAAGTTTCTGAGAATGCTTTTGTCTAGTTTTCAGGGGAAGATATTTCCTTTTTCACCTTATGCCTGAAAGCGCTGCAAATGTCCACATCCAGATACTACAAAAAGAGTGTTTCAAACCTGCTCTATCAAAGGGACTGTTCAACACTGTGACTTCAATTGAAACATCCCAATGAAGCTTCTGAGAATGCTTCTGTCTAGATTGTATATGAAGACAATCCCGTTTCCAACGAAATCCTCAAAGCTATCCAAATATCCTCTTGCAGATTTTACAAAAAGAGTGTTTCAAAACTGCTCTATCAAAAGAAAGGTTCAACACTGTTAGTTGAGGGCGCACATCACAAATAAGTTTCTGAGAATGCTTCTATCTAGCTTTTATTGGAAGATATTTCCTTTATCACCGGAGTCCTGAGAGCGCTCCAAATGTCCACTTCCAGATACTACAAAAAGAGTGTTTCAAACCTGCTCTATGAAAGGGAATGTTCAACTCTGTGACTTGAATGCAAACATCACAAAGAAGATTCTGGGAATGCTGCTGTCTGCTTTTTATATGTAATCCCGTTTCCAACGAAATCCTCAAAGCTAGACAAATATCCACTTGCAGATTCCACAAAAAGAGTGTTTCAAAACTGCTCTCTCAAAGGAAAGGTTCAACTCTGTTAGCTGAGTAGATACATCATGAAAAAGTTTCTGACATTGCTTCTATCTAGCTTTTATTGGAAGATATTTCCTTTAACACCGTATTCCTGAGATCTCTCCAAATGTCCACTTCCAGATACTACAAAAAGAGTGTTTCAAACCTGCTCTATGAAAGGGACTGTTCAACACTGTGACTTCAATTAAAACATCCCAATGAAGCTTCTGAGAATGCTTCTGTCTAGAGTTTATATGAAGACAATCCCGTTTCCAACGAAATCCTCAAAGCTATCCAAATATCCTCTTGCAGATATTACAAAAAGAGTGTTTCAAAACTGCTCTATCAAAAGAAAGGTTCAACACTGTTAGTTGAGGGCGCACATCACAAATAAGTTTACTGAGAATGCTGCTGTCTGCTTTTTATATGTAATCCCGTTTCCAACGAAATCCTCAAAGCTAGACAAATATCCACTTGCAGATTCCACAAAAAGAGTGTTTCAAACCTGCTCTATGAAATGGAATGTTCAACACTGTGACTTGAATGCAAACATCACAAAGAAGTTACTGGGAATGCTTCTGTCTAGTTTTCAGGGGAAGATATTTCCTTTTAAACCATAGGCCTGAAAGCGCTCCAAATGTCCACATCCAGATACTACAAAAAGAGTGTTTCAAACCTGCTCTATGAAAGGGACTGTTCAACACTGTGACTTCAATTGAAACATCCCAATGACGCTTCTGAGAATGCTTCTGTCTAGAGTTTATATGAAGACAATCCCGTTTTCAACGAAATCCTCAAAGCTATCCAAATATCCTCTTGCAGATTTTACAAAAAGAGTGTTTCAAAACTGCTCTATCAAAAGAAAGCTTCAACACTGTTAGTTGAGGGCGCACATCACAAATAAGATTCTGAGAATGCTTCTGTCTAGTTTTCAGGGGAAGATATTTCCTTTTTCACCATAGGCCTGAAAGCGCTCCAAATGTCCACATCCAGATACTACAAAAAGAGTGTTTCAAACCTGCTCTCTGAAAGGGAATGTTCAACTCTGTGTCTTGAATGTAAACATCACAAACAAGATTCTGGGAATGCTGCTGTCTGCTTTTTATATGTAATCCCGTTTCCAACGAAATCCTCAAAGCTAGACAAATATCCACTTGCAGATTCCACAAAAAGAGTGTTTCAAAACTGCTCTATCAAAAGAAAGCTTCAACACTGTTAGTTGAGGGCGCACATCACAAATAAGTTTCTGAGAATGCTTCTGTCTAGTTTTCAGGGGAAGATATTTCCTTTTTCACCATAGGCCTGAAAGCGCTCCAAATGTCCACATCCAGATACTACAAAAAGAGTGTTTCAAACCTGCTCTATGAAAGGGAATGTTCAACTCTGTGACTTGAATGCAAACATGACAAAGAAGTTTCTGGGAATGCTGCTGTCTGCTTTTCATATGTAATACGGTTTCCAACGAAATCCTCAAACCTAGACAAATATCCACTTGCAGATTCCACAAAAAGAGTGTTTCAAAACTTCTCTCTCAAAAGAAAGGTTAAATTCTGTTAGCTGAGTAGATACATAATGAAAAATTTTCTGACATTGCTTCTATCTAGCTTTTATTGGAAGATACTTCCTTTTTCACCGTAGTCCTGAGAGCGCTCCAAATGTCCACTTCCAGATACTACAAAAAGAGTGTTTCAAACCTGCTCTATGAAAGGGACTGTTCAACACTGTGACTTCAATTGAAACATCCCAATGAAGCTTCTGAGAATGCTTCTGTCTAGAGTTTATATGAAGACAATCCCGTTTCCAACGAAATCCTCAAAGCTATCCAAATATCCTCTTGCAGATATTACAAAAAGAGTGTTTCAAAACTGCTCTATCAAAAGAAAGGTTCAACACTGTTAGTTGAGGGCGCACATCACAAATAAGTTTACTGAGAATGCTGCTGTCTGCTTTTTATATGTAATCCCGTTTCCAACGAAATCCTCAAAGCTAGACAAATATCCACGTGCAGATTCCACAAAAAGAGTGTTTCAAAACTGCTCTATCAAGAGAAAGCTTCAACACTGTTAGTTGAGGGCGCACATCACAAATAAGTTTCTGAGAATGCTTCTGTCTAGTTTTCAGGGGAAGATATTTCCTTTTTCACCATAGGCCTGAAAGCGCTCCAAATGTCCACATCCAGATACTACAAAAAGAGTGTTTCAAACCTGCTCTATGAAAGGGACTGTTCAACACTGTGACTTCAATTGAAACATCCCAATGAAGCTTCTGAGAATGCTTCTGTCTAGAGTTTATATGAAGACAATCCCGTTTCCAACGAAATCCTCAAAGCTATCCAAATATCCTCTTGCAGATTTTACAAAAAGAGTGTTTCAAAACTGCTCTATCAAAAGAAAGCTTCAACACTGTTAGTTGAGGGCGCACATCACAAATAAGATTCTGAGAATGCTTCTGTCTAGTTTTCAGGAGAAGATATTTCCTTTTTCACCATAGGCCTGAAAGCGCTCCAAATGTCCACATCCAGATACTATAAAAAGAGTGTTTCAAACCTGCTCTCTGAAAGGGAATGTACAACTCTGTGACTTGAATGCAAACATCACAAACAAGATTCTGGGAATGCTGCTGTCTGCTTTTTATATGTAATCCCGTTTCCAACGAAATCCTCAAAGCTAGACAAATATCCACTTGCAGATTCCACAAAAAGAGTGTTTCAAAACTGCTCTCTCAAAGGAAAGGTTCAACTCTGTTAGCTGAGTAGATACATCTTGAAAAAGTTTCTCACATTGCTTCTATCTAGCTTTTATTGGAAGATATTTCCTTTATCACCGGAGTCCTGAGAGCGCTCCAAATGTCCACTTCCAGATACTACAAAAAGAGTGTTTCAAACCTGCTCTATGAAAGGGACTGTTCAACACTGTGACTTCAATTGAAACATCCCAATGAAGCTTCTGAGAATGCTTCTGTGTAGTTTTCAGGGGAAGATATTTCCTTTTTCACCATAGGCCTGAAAGCGCTCCAAATGTCCACATCCAGATACTTCAAAAAGAGTGTTTCAAACCTGCTCTATGAAAGGGAATGTTCAACTCTGTGACTTGAATGCAAACATCACAAAGAAGATTCTGGGAATGCTGCTGTCTGCTTTTTATATGTATTCCCGTTTCCAACGAAATCCTCAAAGCTAGACAAATATCCACTTGCAGATTCCACAAAAAGAGTGTTTCAAAACTGCTCTATCAAAAGAAAGCTTCAACACTGTTAGTTGAGGGCGCACATCACAAATAAGTTTCTGAGAATGCTTCTGTCTAGTTTTCAGGGGAAGATATTTCCTTTTTCACCTTATGCCTGAAAGCGCTGCAAATGTCCACATCCAGATACTACAAAAACAGTGTTTCAAACCTGCTCTATCAAAGGGACTGTTCAACACTGTGACTTCAATTGAAACATCCCAATGAAGCTTCTGAGAATGCTTCTGTCTAGAGTTTATATGAAGACAATCCCGTTTCCAACGAAATCCTCAAAGCTATCCAAATATCCTCTTGCAGATTTTACAAAAAGAGTGTTTCAAAACTGCTCTATCAAAAGAAAGCTTCAACTCTGTTAGTTGAGGGCGCACATCACAAATAAGATTCTGAGAATGCTTCTATCTAGCTTTTATTGGAAGATATTTCCTTTATCACCGTATTCCTGAGATCTCTCCAAATGTCCACTTCCAGATACTACAAAAAGAGTGTTTCAAACCTGCTCTATGAAAGGGAATGTTCAACTCTGTGACTTGAATGCAAACATCACAAAGAAGTTTCTGGGAATGCTGCTGTCTGCTTTTTATATGTAATCCCGTTTCCAACGAAATCCTCAAAGCTAGACAAATATCCACTTCCAGATTCCACAAAAAGAGTGTTTCAAAACTGCTCTCTCAAAAGAAAGGTTCAACTCTGTTAGCTGAGTAGATATATCATGAAAAAGTTTCTGACATTGCTTCTATCTAGCTTTTATTGGAAGATATTTCCTTTATCACCGTATTCCTGAGATCTCTCCAAATGTCCACTTCCAGATACTACAAAAAGAGTGTTTCAAACCTGCTCTATGAAAGGGACTGTTCAACACTGTGACTTCAATTGAAACATCCCAATGAAGCTTCTGAGAATGCTTCTGTCTAGAGTTTATATGAAGACAATCCCGTTTCCAACGAAATCCTCAAAGCTATCCAAATATCCTCTTGCAGATATTACAAAAAGAGTGTTTCAAAACTGCTCTATCAAAAGAAAGGTTCAACACTGTTAGTTGAGGGCGCACATCACAAATAAGTTTACTGAGAATGCTGCTGTCTGCTTTTTATATGTAATCCCGTTTCCAACGAAATCCTCAAAGCTAGACAAATATCCACTTGCAGATTCCACAAAAAGAGTGTTTCAAAACTGCTCTATCAAAAGAAAGCTTCAACACTGTTAGTTGAGGGCGCACATCACAAATAAGTTTCTGAGAATGCTTCTGTCTAGTTTTCAGGGGAAGATATTTCCTTTTAAACCATAGGCCTGAAAGCGCTCCAAATGTCCACATCCAGATACTACAAAAAGAGTGTTTCAAACCTGCTCTATGAAAGGGACTGTTCAACACTGTGACTTCAATTGAAACATCCCAATGAAGCTTCTGAGAATGCTACTGTCTAGGGTTAATATGAAGACAATCCCGTTTCCAACGAAATCCTCAAAGCTATCCAAATATCCTCTTGCAGATTTTACAAGAAGAGTGTTTCAAAACTACTCTATCAACAGAAAGGTTCAACATTGTTAGTTGAGGGCGCACATCACAAATAAGTTTCTGAGAATGCTTCTGTCTAGTTTTCAGGGGAAGATATTTCCGTTTTCACCATAGGCCTGAAAGCGCTCCAAATGTCCACATCCAGATACTACAAAAAGAGTGTTTCAAACCTGCTCTATGAAAGGGAATGTTCAACTCTGTGACTTGAATGCAAATATCACAAAGAAGTTTCTGGGAATGCTGCTGTCTGCTTTTTATATGTAATCCCGTTTCCAACGAAATCCTCAAAGCTAGACAAATATCCACTTGCAGATTCCACAAAAAGAGTGTTTCAAAACTGCTCTCTCAAAAGAAAGGTTCAACTCTGTTAGCTGAGTGGATACATCATGAAAAAGTTTCTGACATTGCTTCTATCTAGCTTTTATTGGAAGATATTTCCTTTTTCACCGTAGTCCTGACAGCGCTCCAAATGTCCACTTCCAGATACCACAAAAAGAGTGTCTCAAACCTGCTCTATGAAAGGGACTGTTCAACACTGTGACTTCAATTGAAACATCCCAATGAAGTTACTGAGAATGCTTCTGTCTAGAGTTTATATGAAGACAATCCCGTTTCCAACGAAATCCTCAAAGCTATCCAAATATCCTCTTGCAGATATTACAAAAAGAGTGTTTCAAAACTGCTCTATCAAAAGAAAGGTTCAACACTGTTAGTTGAGGGCGCACATCACAAATAAGTTTACTGAGAATGCTGCTGTCTGCTTTTTATATGTAATCCCGTTTCCAACGAAATCCTCAAAGCTATCCAAATATCCTCTTGCAGATATTACAAAAAGAGTGTTTCAAAACTGCTCTATCAAAAGAAAGGTTCAACACTGTTAGTTGAGGGCGCACATCACAAATAAGTTTCTGAGAATGCTTCTGTCTAGTTTTCAGGGGAAGATATTTCCTTTTAAACCATAGGCCTGAAAGCGCTCCAAATGTCCACATCCAGATACTACAAAAAGAGTGTTTCAAACCTGCTCTATGAAAGGGACTGTTCAACACTGTGACTTCAATTGAAACATCCCAATGACGCTTCTGAGAATGCTTCTGTCTAGAGTTTATATGCAGACAATCCCGTTTCCAACGAAATCCTCAAAGCTATCCAAATATCCTCTTGCAGATTTTACAAAAAGCGTGTTTCAAAACGGCTCTGTGAAAAGAAAGCTTCAACACTGTTAGTTGAGGGCGCACATCACAAATAAGTTTCTGAGACTACTTCTGTCTAGTTTTCAGGGGAAGATATTTCCTTTTTCACCATAGGCCTGAAAGCGCTCCAAATTTCCATATCCAGATACTACAAAAAGAGTGTTTCAAACCTGCTCTATGAAAGGGAATGTTCAACTCTGTCACTTAAATGCAAACATCACAAAGAAGTTTCTGGGAATGCTGCTGTCTGCTTTTTATATGTAATCCCGTTTCCAACGAAATCCTCAATGCTAGACAAATATCCACTTGCAGATTCCACAAAAAGAGTGTTTCAAAACTGCTCTCTCAAAAGAAAGGTTCAACTCTGTTAGCTGAGTAGATACATCATGAAAAAGTTTCTGACATTGCTTCTATCTAGCTTTTATTGGAAGATATTTCCTTTTTCACTGTAGTCCTGAGAGCGCTCCAAATGTCCACTTCCAGATACTACAAAAAGAGTGTTTCAAACCTGCTCTATGACAGGGAATGTTCAACACTGTGACTTCAATTGAAACATCCGAAAGAAATTTCTGAGAATGCTGCTGTCTGCTTTGTATAATTAATCCCGTTTCCAACGAAATCCTCAAAGCTATCCAAATATCCTCTTGCAGATATTACAAAAAGAGTGTTTCAAAACTGCTCTATCAAAAGAAAGCTTCAACACTGTTAGTTGAGGGCGCACATCACAAATAAGTTTCTGAGAATGCTGCTGTCTGCTTTTTATATGTAATCCCGTTTCCAACGAAATCCTCAAAGCTAGACAAACATCCACTTGCAGATTCCACAAAAAGAGTGTTTCAAATCTGCTCTATCAAAAGAAAGCTTCAACACTGTTAGTTGAGGGCGCACATCACAAATAAGTTTCTGAGAATGCTTCTGTCTAGTTTTCAGGGGAAGATATTTCCTTTTAAACCATAGGCCTGAAAGCGCTCCAAATGTCCACATCCAGATACTACAAAAAGAGTGTTTCAAACCTGCTCTATGAAAGGGACTGTTCAACACTGCAACTTCAATTGAAACATCCCAATGAAGCTTCTGAGAATGCTTCTGTCTAGAGTTTATATGAAGACAATCCCGTTTCCAACGAAATCCTCAAAGCTATCCAAATATCCTCTTGCAGATTTTACAAAAAGAGTGTTTGAAAACTGCTCTATCAAAAGAAAGCTTCAACACTGTTAGTTTAGGGCGCACATCACAAATAAGATTCTGAGAATGCTTCTGTCTAGTTTTCAGGGGAAGATATTTCCTTTTTCACCATAGGCCTGAAAGCGCTCCAAATGTCCACATACAGATACTACAAAAAGAGTGTTTCAAACCTGCTCTATGAAAGGGAATGTTCAACTCTGTGACTTGAATGCAAACTTCACAAAGAAGTTTCTGGGAATGCTTCTGTCTAGAGTTTATATGAAGACAATCCCGTTTCCAACGAAATCCTCAAAGCTATCCAAATATCCTCTTGCAGATTTTACAAAAAGAGTGTTTCAAACCTGCTCTCTCAAAAGAATGGTTCAACTCTGTTAGCTGAGTAGATACATCATGAAAAAGTTTCTGACATTGCTTCTATCTAGCTTTTATTGGAAGATACTTCCTTTTTCACCGTAGTCCTGAGAGCGCTCCAAATGTCCACTTCCAGATACTACAAAAAGAGTGTTTCAAACTTGCTCTATGAAAGAGACTGTTCAACACTGTGACTTCAATTGAAACATCCCAATGAAGCTTCTGAGAATGCTTCTTTCTAGAGTTTATATGAAGACAATCCCGTTTCCAACGAAATCCTCAAAGCTATCCAAATATTCTCTTGCAGATATTACAAAAAGAGTGTTTCAAAACTGCTCTATCAAAATAAAGCTTCAACACTGTTAGTTGAGGGCGCACATCACAAATAAGTTTCTGAGAATGCTGCTGTCTGCTTTTTATATGTAATCCCGTTTCCAACGAAATCCTCAAAGCTAGACAAATATCCACTTGCAGATTCCACAAAAAGAGTGTTTCAAAACTGCTCTGTCAAAAGAATGCTTCAACACTGTTAGTTGAAGGCGCACATCACAAATAAGTTTCTGAGAATGCTTCTGTCTAGTTTTCAGGGGAAGATATTTCCTTTTTCACCATAGGCCTGAAAGCGCTCCAAATGTCCACATCCAGATACTACAAAAAGAGTGTTTCAAACCTGCTCTATGAAAGGGACTGTTCAACACTGTGACTTCAATTGAAACATCCCAATGAAGCTTCTGAGAATGCTTCTGTCTAGAGTTTATATGAAGACAATCCCGTTTCCAACGAAATCCTCAAAGCTATCCAAATATCCTCTTGCAGATTTTACAAAAAGAGTGTTTCAAAACTGCTCTATCAAAAGAAAGCTTCAACTCTGTTAGTTGAGGGCGCACATCACAAATAAGATTCTGAGAATGCTTCTGTCTAGTTTTCAGGGGAAGATATTTCCTTTTTCACCATAGGCCTGAAAGCGCTCCAAATGTCCACATCCAGATACTTCAAAAAGAGTGTTTCAAACCTGCTCTATGAAAGGGAATGTTCAACTCTGTGACTTGAATGCAAACATCCCAAAGAAGTTACTGGGAATGCTGCTGTCTGCTTTTTATATGTAATCCCGTTTCCAACGAAATCCTCAAAGCTAAGCAAATATCCACTTGCAGATTCCACAAAAAGAGTGTTTCAAAACTGCTCTCTCAAAGGAAAGGTTCAACTCTGTTAGCTGAGTAGATACATCATGAAAAAGTTTCTGACATTGCTTCTATCTAGCTTTTATTGGAAGATATTTCCTTTTTCACCGCAGTCCTGAGAGCGCTCCAAATGTCCACTTCCAGATACTACAAAAAGAGTGTTTCAAACCTGCTCTATGAAAGGGACTGTTCAACACTGTGACTTCAACTGAAACATCCCAATGAAGCTTCTGAGAATGCTTCTGTCTAGTTTTCATGAGAAGATATTTCCTTTTTCACCATAGGCCTGAAAGCGCTCCAAATGTCCACATCCAGATACTATAAAAAGAGTGTTTCAAACCTGCTCTATGAAAGGGAATGTTCAACTCTGTGACTTGAATGCAAACATCACAAAGAAGATTCTGGGAATGCTGCTGTCTGCTTTTTATATGTAATCCCGTTTCCAACGAAATCCTCAAAGCTAGACAAATATCCACTTGCAGATTCCACAAAAAGAGTGTTTCAAAACTGCTCTATCAAAAGAAAGCTTCAACACTGTTAGTTGAGGGCGCACATCACAAATAAGTTTCTGAGAATGCTTCTGTCTAGTTTTCAGGGGAAGATACTTCCTTTTTCACCTTAGGCCTGAAAGCGCTGCAAATGTCCACATCCAGATACTACAAAAAGAGTGTTTCAAACCTGCTCTATGAAAGGGACTGTTCAACACTGTGACTTCAATTGAAACATCCCAATGAAGCTTCTGAGAATGCTTCGGTCTAGAATTTGTATGAAGACAATCCCGTTTCCAACGAAATCCTCAAAGCTATCCAAATATCCTCTTGCAGATTTTACAAAAAGAGTGTTTCAAAACTGCTCTATCAAAAGAAAGCTTCAACACTGTTAGTTGAGGGCGCACATCACAAATAAGATTCTGAGAATGCTTCTGTCTAGTTTTCAGGGGAAGATATTTCCTTTTTCACCATAGGCCTGAAAGCGCTCCAAATGTCCACATAGAGATACTACAAAAAGAGTGTTTCAAACCTGCTCTATGAAAGGGAATGTTCAACTCTGTGACTTGAATGCAAACATCACAAAGAAGTTTCTGGGAATGCTGCCGTCTGCTTTTTATATGTAATCCCGTTTCCAACGAAATCCTCAAAGCTAGGCAAATATCCACTTGCAGATTCCACAAAAAGAGTGTTTCAAAACTGCTCTCTCAAAGGAAGGTTCAACTCTGTTAGCTGAGTAGATACATCATGAAAAAGTTTCTGACATTGCTTCTGTCTAGAGTTTATATGAAGACAATCCCGTTTCCAACGAAATCCTCAAAGCTATCCAAATATCCTCTTGCAGATATTACAAAAAGAGTGTTTCAAAACTGCTCTATCAAAAGAAAGCTTCAACACTGTTAGTTGAGGGCGAACATCACAAATAAGTTTCTGAGAATGCTTCTGTCTAGTTTTCAGGGGAAGATATTTCCTTTTTCACCATAGGCCTGAAAGCGCTCCAAAGGTCCACATCCAGATACTACAAAAAGAGTGTTTCAAACCTGCTCTATGAAAGGGAATGTTCAACTCTGTGGCTTGAATGCAAACATCACAAAGAAGTTTCTGGGAATGCTGCTGTCTGCTTTTTATATGTAATCCCGTTTCCAACGAAATCCTCAAAGCTAGACAAATATCCACTTGCAGATTCCACAAAAAGAGTGTTTCAAAACTGCTCTATCAAAAGAATGCTTCAACACTGTTAGTTGAGGGCGCACATAACAAATAAGTTTCTGAGAATGCTTCTGTCTAGTTTTCAGGGGAAGATATTTCCTTTTAAACCGTAGGCCTGAAAGCGCTCCAAATGTCCACATCCAGATACTACAAAAAGAGTGTTTCAAACCTGCTCTATGAAAGGGACTGTTCAACACTGTGACTTCAATTGAAACATCCCAATGAAGCTTCTGAGAATGCTTCTGTCTAGAGTTTATATGAAGACAATCCCGTTTCCAACGAAATCCTCAAAGCTATCCAAATATCCTCTTGCAGATTTTACAAAAAGAGTGTTTCAAAACTGCTCTATCAAAAGAAAGCTTCAACTCTGTTAGTTGAGGGCGCACATCACAAATAAGATTCTGAGAATGCTTCTGTCTAGTTTTCAGGGGAAGATATTTCCTTTTTCACCTTAGGCCTGAAAGCGCTGCAAATGTCCACATCCAGATACTACAAAAAGAGTGTTTCAAACCTGCTCTATGAAAGGGAGTGTTCAACTCTGTGACTTGAATGCAAACATCACAAAGAAGTTACTGGGAATGCTGCTGTCTGCTTTTTATATGTAATCCCGTTTCCAACGAAATCCTCAAAGCTAGACAAATATCCACTTGCAGATTCCACAAAAAGAGTGTTTCAAAACTGCTCTCTCAACGGAAGGTTCAACTCTGTTAGCTGAGTAGATACATCATGAAAAAGTTTCTGACATTGCTTCTATCTAGCTTTTATTGGAAGATATTTCCTTTTTCACTGCAGTCCTGAGAGCGCTCCAAATGTCCACTTCCAGATACTACAAAAAGAGTGTTTCAAACCTGCTCTACGAAAGGGACTGTTCAACACTGTGACTTCAATTGAAACATCCCAATGAAGCTTCTGAGAATGCTTCTTTCTAGAGTTTATATGAAGACAATCCCGTTTCCAACGAAATCCTCAAAGCTATCCAAATATTCTCTTGCAGATATTACAAAAAGAGTGTTTCAAAACTGCTCTATCAAAATAAAGCTTCAACACTGTTAGTTGAGGGCGCACATCACAAATAAGTTTCTGAGAATGCTGCTGTCTGCTTTTTATATGTAATCCCGTTTCCAACGAAATCCTCAAAGCTAGACAAATATCCACTTGCAGATTCCACAAAAAGAGTGTTTCAAAACTGCTCTATCAAAAGAATGCTTCAACACTGTTAGTTGAGGGCGCACATCACAAATAAGTTTCTGAGAATGCTTCTGTCTAGTTTTCAGGGGAAGATATTTCCTTTTTCACCATAGGCCTGAAAGCGCTCCAAATGTCCACATCCAGATACTACAAATGAGTGTTTCAAACCTGCTCTATGAAAGGGACTGTTCAACACTGTGACTTCAATTGAAACATCCCAATGAAGCTTCTGAGAATGCTTCTGTCTAGAGTTTATATGAAGACAATCCCGTTTCCAACGAAATCCTCAAAGCTATCCAAATATCCTCTTGCAGATTTTACAAAAGGAGTGTTTCAAAACTGCTCTATCAAAAGAAATCTTCAACACTGTTAGTTGAGGGCGCACATCACAAATAAGATTCTGAGAATGCTTCTGTCTAGTTTTCAGGGGAAGATATTTCCTTTTTCACCTTAGGCCTGAAAGCGCTGCAAATGTCCACATCCAGATACTACAAAAAGAGTGTTTCAAACCTGCTCTATGAAAGGGAATGTTCAACTCTGTGACTTGAATGCAAACATCACAAAGAAGTTTCTGGGAATGCTGCTGTCTGCTTTTTATATGTAATCCCGTTTCCAACGAAATCCTCAAAGCTAGACAAATATCCACTTGCAGATTCCACAAAAAGAGTGTTTGAAAACTGCTCTCTCAAAGGAAAGGTTCAACTCTGTTAGCTGAGTAGATACATCATGAAAAAGTTTCTGACATTGCTTCTATCTAGCTTTTATTGGAAGATACTTCCTTTTTCACCGTAGTCCTGAGAGCGCTCCAAATGTCCACTTCCAGATACTACAAAAAGAGTGTTTCAAACCTGCTCTATGAAAGGGACTGTTCAACACTGTGACTTCAATTGAAACATCCCAATGAAGCTTCTGAGAATGCTTCTGTCTAGAGTTTATATGAAGACAATCCCGTTTCCAAAGAAATCCTCAAAGCTATCCAAATATCCTCTTGCAGATTTTACAAAAAGAGTGTTTCAAAACTGCTCTATCAAAAGAAAGCTTCAACACTGTTAGTTGAGGGCGCACATCACAAATAAGATTCTGAGAATGCTTCTGTCTAGTTTTCAGGGGAAGATATTTCCTTTTTCACCTTAGGCCTGAAAGCGCTGCAAATGTCCACATCCAGATACTACAAAAAGAGTGTTTCAAACCTGCTCTATGAAAGGGAATGTTCAACTCTGTGACTTGAATGCAAACATCACAAAGAAGTTTCTGGGAATGCTGCTGTCTGCTTTTTATATGTAATCCCGTTTCCAACGAAATCCTCAAAGCTAGACAAACATCCACTTGCAGATTCCACAAAAAGAGTGTTTCAAAACTGCTCTCTCAAAAAAAAGGTTCAACTCTGTTAGCTGCGTAGATACATCATGAAAAAGTTTCTGACATTGCTTCTATCTAGCTTTTATTGGAAGATATTTCCTTTTTCACCTTAGTCCTGAGAACGCTCCAAATGTCCACTTCCAGATATTACAAAAAGAGTGTTTCAAACCTGCTCTATGAAAGGGACTGTTCAACACTGTGACTTCAATTGAAACATCCCAATGAAGCTTCTGAGAATGATGCTGTCTGCTTTGTATAATTAATCCCGTTTCCAACGAAATCCTCAAAGCTATCCAAATATCCTCTTGCAGATATTACAAAAAGAGTGTTTCAAAACTGCTCTATCAAAAGAAAGCTTCAACACTGTTAGTTGAGGGCGCACATCACAAATAAGTTTCTGAGAATGCTGCTGTCTGCTTTTTATATGTAATCCCGTTTCCAACGAAATCCTCAAAGCTAGACAAATATCCACTTGCAGATTCCACAAAAAGAGTGTTTCAAAACTGCTCTATCAAAAGAAAGCTTCAACACTGTTAGTTGAGGGGGCACATCACAAATAAGTTTCTGAGAATGCTTCTGTCTAGTTTTCAGGGGAAGATATTTCCTTTTTCACCATAGGCCTGAAAGCGCTCCAAATGTCCACATCCAGATACTACAAAAAGAGTGTTTCAAACCTGCTCTATGAAAGGGACTGTTCAACACTGTGACTTCAATTGAAACATCCCAATGAAGCTTCTGAGAATGCTTCTGTCTAGAGTTTATATGAAGACAATCCCGTTTCCAACGAAATCCTCAAAGCTATCCAAATATCCTCTTGCAGATTTTACAAAAAGATTGTTTCAAAGCTGCTCTATCAAAAGAAAGCTTCAACACTGTTAGTTGAGTGCGCACATCACAAATAAGATTCTGAGAATGCTTCTGTCTAGTTTTCAGGGGAAGATATTTCCTTTTTCACCATAGGCCTGAAAGCGCTCCAAATGTCCACATCCAGATACTACAAAAAGAGTGTTTCAAACCTGCTCTATGAAAGGGAATGTTCAACTCTGTGACTTGAATGCAAACATCACAAAGAAGTTTCTGGGAATGCTGTTGTCTGCTTTTTATATGTAATCCCGTTTCCAACGAAATCCTCAAAGCTAGACAAATATCCACTTGCAGATTCCACAAAAAGAGTGTTTCAAAACTGCTCTCTCAAAGGAAGGTTCAACTCTGTTAGCTGAGTAGATACATCATGAAAAAGTTTCTGACATTGCTTCTATCTAGCTTTTATTAGAAGATATTTCCTTTTTCACCGTAGTCCTGAGAGCGCTCCAAATGTCCACTTCCAGATACTACAAAAAGAGTGTTTCAAACCTGCTCTATGAAAGGCACTGTTCAACACTGTGACTTCAATTGAAACATGCCCAATGAAGCTTCTGAGAATGCTGCTGTCTGCTTTGTATAATTAATCCCGTTTCCAACGAAATCCTCAAAGCTATCCAAATATCCTCTTGCAGATATTACAAAAAGAGTGTTTCAAAACTGCTCTATCAAAAGAAAGCTTCAACACTGTTAGTTGAGGGCGCACATCACAAATAAGTTTCTGAGAATGCTGCTGTCTGCTTTTTATATGTAATCCCGTTTCCAACGAAATCCTCAAAGCTAGACAAATATCCACTTGCAGATTCCACAAAAAGAGTGTTTCAAAACTGCTCTATCAAAAGAAAGCTTCAACACTGTTAGTTGAGGGGGCACATCACAAATAAGTTTCTGAGAATGCTTCTGTCTAGTTTTCAGGGGAAGATATTTCCTTTTTCACCATAGGCCTGAAAGCGCTCGAAATGTCCACATCCAGATACTACAAAAAGAGTGTTTCAAACCTGCTCTATGAAAGGGACTGTTCAACACTGTGACTTCAATTGAAACATCCCAATGAAGCTTCTGAGAATGCTTCTGTCTAGAGTTTATATGAAGACAATCCCGTTTCCAACGAAATCCTCAAAGCTATCCAAATATCCTCTTGCAGATTTTACAAAAAGAGTGTTTCAAAACTGCTCTATCAAAAGAAAGCTTCAACACTGTTAGTTGAGGGCGCACATCACAAATAAGTTTCTGAGAATGCTTCTGTCTAGTTTTCAGGGGAAGATATTTCCTTTTTCACCATAGGCCTGAAAGCGCTCCAAATGTCCACATCCAGATACTACAAAAAGAGTGTTTGAAACCTGCTCTATGAAAGGCAATGTTCAACTCTGTGACTTGAATGCAAACATCACAAAGAAGTTACTGGGAATGCTGCTGTCTGCTTTTTATATGTAATCCCGTTTCCAACGAAATCCTCAAAGCTAGACAGATATCCACTTGCAGATTCCACAAAAAGAGTGTTTCAAAACGGCTCTCTCAAAAGAAAGGTTCAACTCTGTTAGCTGAGTAGATAGATCATGAAAAAGTTTCTGACATTGCTTCTATCTAGCTTTTATTGGAACATATTTCCTTTTTCACCGTAGTCCTGAGAACGCTCCAAATGTCCACTTCCAGATACTACAAAAAGAGTGTTTCAAACCTGCTCTATGAAAGGGACTGTTCAACACTGTGACTTCAATTGAAACATCCCAATGAAGCTTCTGAGAATGCTTCTGTCTAGATTTTATATGAAGACAATCCCGTTTCCAACGAAATACTCAAAGCTATCCAAATATCCTCTTGCAGATTTTACAAAAAGAGTTTTTCAAGACTGCTCTATCAAAAGAAAGCTTCAACACTGTTAGTTGAGGGCGCACATCACAAATAAGTTTCTGAGAATGCTGCTGTCTGCTTTTTATATGTAATCCCGTTTCCAACGAAATCCTCAAAGCTAGACAAATATCCACTTGCAGATTCCACAAAAAGAGTGTTTCAAAACTGCTCTATCAAAAGAAAGCTTCAACACTGTTAGTTGAGGGCGCACATCACAAATAAGTTTCTGAGAATGCTTCTGTCTAGTTTTCAGGGGAAGATATTTCCTTTTTCACCATAGGCCTGAAAGCGCTCCAAATGTCCACATCCAGATACTACAAATGAGTGTTTCAAACCTGCTCTATGAAAGGGACTGTTCAACACTGTGACTTCAATTGAAACATCCCAATGAAGCTTCTGAGAATGCTTCTGTCTAGAGTTTATATGAAGACAATCCCGTTTCCAACGAAATCCTCAAAGCTATCCAAATATCCTCTTGCAGATTTTACAAAAAGAGTGGTTCAAAACTGCTCTATCAAAAGAAAGCTTCAACACTGTTAATTGAGGGCGCACATCACAAATAAGATTCTGAGAATGCTTCTGTCTAGTTTTCAGGGGAAGATATTTCCTTTTTCACCATAGGCCTGAAAGCGCTCCAAATGTCCACATACAGATACTACAAAAAGAGTGTTTCAAACCTGCTCTATGAAAGGGAATGTTCAACTCTGTGACTTGAATGCAAACTTCACAAAGAAGTTTCTGGGAATGCTGCTGTCTGCTTTTTATATGTAATCCCGTTTCCAACGAAATCCTCAAAGCTAGACAAATATCCACTTGCAGATTCCACAAAAAGAGTGTTTCAAAACTGCTCTCTCAAAAGAAAGGTTCAACTCTGTTAGCTGAGTAGATAAATCATGAAAAAGTTTCTGACATTGCTTCTATCTAGCTTTTATTGGAAGATATTTCCTTTTTCACCGTAGTCCTGAGAGCGCTCCAAATGTCCACTTCCAGATACTACAAAAAGAGTGTTTCAAACCTGCTCTATGAAAGGGACTGTTCAACACTGTGACTTCAATTGAAACATCCCAATGAAGCTTCTGAGAATGCTTCTGTCTAGTTTACAGGAGAAGATATTTCCTTTTTCACCATAGGCCTGAAAGCGCTCCAAATGTCCACATCCAGATACTATAAAAAGAGGGTTTCAAACCTGCTCTCTGAAAGGGAATGTTCAACTCTGTGACTTGAATGCAAACATCACAAACAAGATTCTGGGAATGCTGCTGTCTGCTTTTTATATGTAATCCCGTTTCCAACGAAATCCTCAAATCTATCCAAATATCCTCTTGCAGATATTACAAAAAGAGTGTTTCAAAACTGCTCTATCAAAAGAAAGGTTCAACACTGTTAGTTGAGGGCGCACATCACAAATAAGTTTCTGAGAATGCTTCTGTCTAGTTTTCAGAGGAAGATATTTCCTTTTTCACCATAGGCCTGAAAGCGCTCCAAATGTCCACATCCAGATACTACAAAAAGAGTGTTTCAAACCTGCTCTATGAAAGGGACTGTTCAACACTGTGACTTCAATTGAAACATCCCAATGAGGCTTCTGAGAATGCTTCTGTCTAGAGTTTATATGAAGACAATCCCGTTTCCAACGAAATCCTCAAAGCTATCCAAATATCCTCTTGCAGATTTTACAAAAAGAGTGTTTCAAAACTGCTCTATCAAAAGAAAGCTTCAACTCTGTTAGTTGAGGGCGCACATCACAAATAAGATTCTGAGAATGCTTCTGTCTAGTTTTCAGGGGAAGATATTTCCTTTTTCACCTTAGGCCTGAAAGCGCTGCAAATGTCCACATCCAGATACTACAAAAAGAGTGTTTCAAACCTGCTCTATGAAAGGGAATGTTCAACTCTGTGACTTGAATGCAAACATCACAAAGAAGTTTCTGGGAATGCTGCTGTCTGCTTTTTATATGTAATCCCGTTTCCAAAGAAATCCTCAAAGCTAGACAAATATCCACTTCCAGATTCCACAAAAAGAGTGTTTTAAAACTGCTCTCTCAAAAGAAAGCTTCAACTCTGTTAGCTGAGTAGATACATCATGAAAAAGTTTCTGACATTGCTTCTATGTAGCTTTTATTGGAAGATATTTCCTTTTTCACCATAGTCCTGAGAGCGCTCCAAATGTCCACTTCCAGATACTACAAAAAGAGTGTTTCAAACCTGTTCTATGAAAGGAACTGTTCAACACTGTGACTTCAATTGAAACATCCCAATGAAGCTTCTGAGAATGCTGCTGTCTGCTTTGTATAATTAATCCCGTTTCCAACGAAATCCTCAAAGCTATCCAAATATCCTCTTGCAGATATTACAAAAAGAGTGTTTCAAAACTGCTCTATCAAAAGAAAGCTTCAACACTGTTAGTTGAGGGCGCACATCACAAATAAGTTTCTGAGAATGCTGCTGTCTGCTTTTTATATGTAATCCCGTTTCCAACGAAATCCTCAAAGCTAGACAAATATCCACTTGCAGATTCCACAAAAAGAGTGTTTCAAAACTGCTCTATCAAAAGAATGCTTCAACACTGTTAGTTGAGGGCGCACATCACAAATAAGTTTCTGAGAATGCTTCTGTCTAGTTTTCAGGGGAAGATATTTCCTTTTAAACCATAGGCCTGAAAGCGCTCCAAATGTCCACATCCAGATACTACAAAAAGAGTGTTTCAAACCTGCTCTATGAAAGGGACTGTTCAACACTGTGACTTCAATTGAAACATCCCAATGACGCTTCTGAGAATGCTTCTGTCTAGAGTTTATATGAAGACAATCCCGTTTCCAACGAAATCCTCAAAGCTATCCAAATATCCTCTTGCAGATTTTACAAAAAGAGTGTTTCAAAACTGCTCTATCAAAAGAAAGGTTCAACACTGTTACTTGAGGGCGCACATCACAAATAAGTTTCTGAGAATGCTTCTGTCTATTTTTCAGGGGAAGATATTTCCTTTTTCACCTTAGGCCTGAAAGCGCTGCAAATGTCCACATCCAGATACTACAAAAAGAGTGTTTCAAACCTGCTCTATGAAAGGGAATGTTCAACTCTGTGACTTGAATGCAAACATCACAAAGAAGTTTCTGGGAATGCTGCTGTCTGCTTTTTATATGTAATCCCGTTTCCAACGAAATCCTCAAACTAGACAAATATCCACTTCCAGATTCCACAAAAAGAGTGTTTCAAAACTGCTCTCTCAAAAGAAAGGTTCAACTCTGTTAGCTGAGTAGATACATCATGAAAAAGTTTCTGACATTGCTTCTATCTAGCTTTTATTGGAAGATATTTCCTTTATCACCGTATTCCTGAGATCTCTCCAAATGTCCACTTCCAGATACTACAAAAACAGTGTTTCAAACCTGCTCTATGAAAGGGACTGTTCAACACTGTGACTTCAATTGAAACATCCCACTGAAGCTTCTGAGAATGCTTATGTCTAGAGTTTATATGAAGACAATCCCGTTTCCAACGAAATCCTGAAAGCTATCCAAATATCCTCTTGCAGATATTACAAAAAGAGTGTTTCAAAACTGCTCTATCAAAAGAAAGCTTCAACACTGTTAGTTGAGGGCGCCCATCACAAATAAGTTTCGGAGAATGCTTAGCTGTCTGCTTTTTATATGTAATCCCGTTTCCAACGAAATCCTCAAAGCTAGACAAATATCCACTTGCAGATTCCACAAAAAGAGTGTTTCAAAACTGCTCTATCAAAAGAAAGCTTCAACACTGTTAGTTGAGGGCGCACATCACAAATAAGTTTCTGAGAATGCTTCTGTCTAGTTTTCAGGGGAAGATATTTCCTTTTTCACCATAGGCCTGAAAGCGCTCCAAATGACCACATCCAGATACTACAAAAAGAGTGTTTCAAACCTGCTCTATGAAAGGGACTGTTCAACACTGTGACTTCAATTGAAACATCCCAATGAAGCTTCTGAGAATGCTTCTGTCTAGAGTTTATATGAAGACAATCCCGTTTCCAACGAAATCCTCAAAGCTATCCAAATATCCTCCTGCAGATATTACAAAAAGAGTGTTTCAAAACTGCTCTATCAAAAGAAAGGTTCAACACTGTTAGTTGAGGGCGCACATTACAAATAAGTTTCTGAGAATGCTTCTGTCTAGTTTTCAGGGGAAGATATTTCCTTTTTCACCATAGGCCTGAAAGCGCTCCAAATGTCCACATCCAGATACTTCAAAAAGAGTGTTTCAAACCTGCTCTATGAAAGGGAATGTTCAACTCTGTGACTTGAATGCAAACATCACAAAGAAGTTACTGGGAATGCTGCTGTCTGCTTTGTATATGTAATCCCGTTTCCAACGAAATCCTCAAAGCTAGACAAATATCCACTTGCAGATTCCACAAAAAGAGTGTTTCAAAACTGCTCTCTCAAAAGAAAGGTTCAACTCTGTTAGCTGAGTAGATACATCATGAAAAAGTTTCTGACATTGCTTCTATCTGGCTTTTATTGGAAGATATTTCCTTTTTCAACGTAGTCCTGAGAGCGCTCCAAATGTCCACTTCCAGATACTACAAAAAGAGTGTTTCAAACCTGCTCTATGAAAGGGACTGTTCAACACTGTGACTTCAATTGAAACATCCCAATGAAGCTTCTGAGAATGCTGCTGTCTGCTTTGTATAATTAATCCCGTTTCCAACGAAATCCTCAAAGCTATCCAAATATCCTCTTGCAGATATTACAAAAAGAGTGTTTCAAAACTGCTCTATCAAAAGAAAGCTTCAACACTGTTAGTTGAGGGCGCACATCACAAATAAGTTTCTGAGAATGCTGCTGTCTGCTTTTTATAATTAATCCCGTTTCCAACGAAATCCTCAAAGCTATCCAAATATCCTCTTGCAGATATTACAAAAAGAGTGTTTCAAAACTGCTCTATCAAAAGAAAGCTTCAACACTGTTAGTTGAGGGCGCACATCACAAATAAGTTTCTGAGAATGCTTCTGTCTAGTTTTCAGGGGAAGATATTTCCTTTTTCACCATAGGCCTGAAAGCGCTCCAAATGTCCACATCCAGATACTACAAAAAGAGTGTTTCAAACCTGCTCTATGAAAGGGACTGTTCAACACTGTGACTTCAATTGAAACATCCCAATGAAGCTTCTGAGAATGCTTCTGTCTAGTGTTTATATGAAGACAATCCCGTTTCCAACGAAATCCTCAAAGCTATCAAAATATCCTCTTGCAGATTTTACAAAAAGAGAGTTTCAAAACTGCTCTATCAAAAGAAAGCTTCAACACTGTTAGTTGAGGGCGCACATCACAAATAAGATTCTGAGAATGCTTCTGTCTAGTTTTCAGGGGAAGATATTTCCTTTTTCACCATAGGCCTGAAAGCGCTCCAAATGTCCACATCCAGATACTACAAAAAGAGTGTTTCAAACCTGCTCTATGAAAGGGAATGTTCAACTCTGTGACTTGAATGCAAACATCACAAAGAAGTTTCTGGGAATGCTGCTGTCTGCTTTTTATATGTAATCCCGTTTCCAACGAAATCCTCAAAGCTAGACAAATATCCACTTGCAGATTCCACAAAAAGAGTGTTTCAAAACTGCTCTCTCAAAAGAAAGTTTCAACTCTGTTAGCTGAGTAGATACATCACGAAAATGTTTCTGACATTGCTTCTATCTAGCTTTTATTGGAAGATATTTCCTTTTTCGCCGTAGTCCTGAGATCGCTCCAAATGTGCACTTCCAGATACTACAAAAAGAGTGTTTCAAACCTGCTCTATGAAAGGGACTGTTCAACACTGTGACTTCAATTGAAACATCCCAATGAAGCTTCTGAGAATGCTTCTGTCTAGAGTTTATATGAAGACAATCCCGTTTCCAACGAAATCCTCAAAGCTATCCAAATATCCTCTTGCAGATATTACAAAAAGAGTGTTTCAAAACTGCTCTATCAAAAGAAAGGTTCAACACTGTTAGTTGAGGGCGCACATCACAAATAAGTTTACTGAGAATGCTGCTGTCTGCTTTTTATATGTAATCCCGTTTCCAACGAAATCCTCAAAGCTATCCAAATATCCTCTTGCAGATATTAGAAAAAGAGTGTTTCAAAACTGCTCTATCAAAAGAAAGGTTCAACACTGTTAGTTGAGGGCGCACATCACAAATAAGTTTCTGAGAATGCTTCTGTCTAGTTTTCAGGGGAAGATATTTCCTTTTAAACCATAGGCCTGAAAGCGCTCCAAATGTCCACATCCAGATACTACAAAAAGAGTGTTTCAAACCTGCTCTATGAAAGGGACTGTTCAACACTGTGACTTCAATTGAAACATCCCAATGACGCTTCTGAGAATGCTTCTGTCTAGAGTTTATATGAAGACAATCCCGTTTCCAACGAAATCCTCAAAGCTATCCAAATATCCTCTTGCAGATTTTACAAAAAGAGTGTTTCAAAACTGCTCTATCAAAAGAAAGCTTCAACACTGTTAGTTGAGGGCGCACATCACAAATAAGATTCTGAGAATGCTTCTGTCTAGTTTTCAGGGGAAGATATTTCCTTTTTCACCATAGGCTTGAAAGCACTCCAAATGTCCACATCCAGATACTACAAAAAGAGTGTTTCAAACCTGCTCTATGAAAGGGAATGTTCAACTCTGTGACTTGAATGCAAACATCACAAAGAAGTTTCTGGGAATGCTGCTGTCTGCTTTTTATATGTAATCCCGTTTCCAACGAAATCCTCAAATCTAGACAAATATCCACTTGCAGATTCCACAAAAAGAGTGTTTCAAAACTGCTCTCTCAAAAGAAAGGTTCAACTCTGTTAGCTGAGTAGGTACATCATGAAAAAGTTTCTGACATTGCTTCTATCTAGCTTTTATTGGAAGATATTTCCTTTTTCACCGCAGTCCTGAGAGCGTTCCAAATGTCCACTTCCAGATACTACAAAAAGAGTGTTTCAAACCTGCTCTATGAAAGGGACTGTTCAACACTGTGACTTCAATTGAAACATCCCAATGAAGCTTCTGAGAATGCTGCTGTCTGCTTTGTATAATTAATCCCGTTTCCAACGAAATCCTCAAAGCTATCCAAATATCCTCTTGCAGATATTACAAAAAGAGTGTTTCAAAACTGCTCTATCAAAAGAAAGCTTCAACACTGTTAGTTGAGGGCGCACATCACAAATAAGTTTCTGAGAATGCTGCTGTCTGCTTTTTATATGTAATCCCGTTTCCAACGAAATCCTCAAAGCTAGTACAAATATCCACTTGCAGATTCCACAAAAAGAGTGTTTCAAAACTGCTCTATCAAAAGAATGCTTCAACACTGTTAGTTGAGGGCGCACATCACAAATAAGTTTCTGAGAATGCTTCTGTCTAGTTTTCAGGGGAAGATATTTCCTTTTTCACCATAGGCCTGAAAGCGCTCGAAATGTCCACATCCAGATACTACAAAAAGAGTGTTTCAAACCTGCTCTATGAAAGGGACTGTTCAACACTGTGACTTCAATTGAAACATCCCAATGAAGCTTCTGAGAATGCTTCTGTCTAGAGTTTATATGAAGACAATCCCGTTTCCAACGAAATCCTCAAAGCTATCAAAATATCCTCTTGCAGATTTTACGAAAAGAGTGTTTCAAAACTGCTCTATCAAAAGAAAGCTTCAACACTGTTAGTTGAGGGCACACATCACAAATAAGATTCTGAGAATGCTTCTGTCTAGTTTTCAGGAGAAGATATTTCCTTTTTCACCATAGGCCTGAAAGCGCTCAAAATGTCCACATCCAGATACTATAAAAAGAGTGTTTCAAACCTGCTCTCTGAAAGGGAATGTTCAACTTTGTGACTTGAATGCAAACGTCACAAACAAGATTCTGGGAATGCTGCTGTCTGCTTTTTATATGTAATCCCATTTCCAACGAAATCCTCAAAGCTAGACAAATATCCACTTGCAGATTCCACAAAAAGAGTGTTTCAAAACTGCTCTCTCAAAAGAAATGTTCAACTCTGTTAGCTGAGTAGATACATCATGAAAAAGTTTCTGACATTGCTTCTATCTAGCTTTTATTGGAAGATATTTCCTTTATCACCGTATTCCTGAGATCTCTCAAAATGTCCACTTCCAGATACTAGAAAAAGAGTGTTTCAAACCTGCTCTATGAAAGGGACTGTTCAACACTGTGACTTCAATTGAAACATCCCAATGAAGCTTCTGAGAATGCTTCTGTCTAGAGTTTATATGAAGACAATCCCGTTTCCAACGAAATCCTCAAAGCTATCCAAATATCCTCTTGCAGATATTACAAAAAGAGTGTTTCAAAACTGCTCTATCAAAAGAAAGGTTCAACACTGTTAGTTGAGGGCGCACATCACAAATAAGTTTACTGAGAATGCTGCTGGCTGCTTTTTTTATGTAATCCCGTTTCCAATGAAATCCTCAAAGCTAGACAAATATCCACTTGCAGATTCCACAAAAAGAGTGTTTCAAAACTGCTCTATCAAAAGAAAGCTTCAACACTGTTAGTTGAGGGCGCAAATCACAAATAAGTTTCTGAGAATGCTTCTGTCTAGTTTTCAGGGGAAGATATTTCCTTTTTCACCGTAGGCCTGAAAGCGCTCCAAATGTCCACATCCAGATACTACAAAAAGAGTGTTTCAAACCTGTTCTATGAAAGGGACTGTTCAACACTGTGACTTCAATTGAAACATCCCAATGAAGCTTCTGAGAATGCTTCTGTCTAGAGTTTATATGAAGACAATCCCGTTTCCAACGAAATCCTCAAAGCTATCCAAATATCCTCTTGCAGATATTACAAAAAGAGTGTTTCAAAACTGCTCTATCAAAAGAAAGCTTCAACACTGTTAGTTGAGGGCGCACATCACAAATAAGTTTCTGAGAATGCTTCTGTCTAGTTTACAGGGGAAGATATTTCCTTTTTCACCATAGGCCTGAAAGCGCTCCAAATGTCCACATCCAGATACTACAAAAAGACTGTTTCAAACCTGCTCTATGAAAGGGAATGTTCAAGTCTGTGACTTGAATGCAAATTTCACAAAGAAGTTTCTGGGAATGCTGCTGTCTGCTTTTTATATGTAATCCCGTTTCCAACGAAATCCTCAAAGCTAGACAAATATCCACTTGCAGATTCCACAAAAAGAGTGTTTCAAAACTGCTCTCTCAAAAGAAAGGTTCAACTCTGTTAGCTGAGTAGATACATCATGAAAAAGTTTCTGACATTGCTTCTATGTAGCTTTTATTGGAAGATATTTCCTTTTTCACCGCAGTCCTGAGAGCGCTCCAAATGTCCACTTCCAGATACTACAAAAAGAGTGTTTCAAACCTGCTCTATGAAAGGGACTGTTCAACACTGTGACTTCAATTGAAACATCCCAATGAAGCTTCTGAGAATGCTTCTGTCTAGAGTTTATATGAAGACAATCCCGTTTCCAAAGAAATCCTCAAAGCTATCCAAATATCCTCTTGCAGATTTTACAAAAAGAGTGTTTCAAAACTGCTCTATCAAAAGAAAGCTTCAACACTGTTAGTTGAGGGCGCACATGACAAATAAGATTCTGAGAATGCTGCTGTCTGCTTTTTATATGTAATCCCGTTTCCAACGAAATCCTCAAAGCTAGACAAATATCCACTTGCAGATTCCACAAAAAGAGTGTTTCAAAACTGCTCTATCAAAAGAATGCTTCAACACTGTTAGTTGAAGGCGCACATCACAAATAAGTTTCTGAGAATGCTTCTGTCTAGTTTTCAGGGGAAGATATTTCCTTTTTCACCTTATGCCTGAAAGCGCTGCAAATGTCCACATCCAGATACTACAAAAAGAGTGTTTCAAACCTGCTCTATCAAAGGGACTGTTCAACACTGTGACTTCAATTGAAACATCCCAATGAAGCTTCTGAGAATGCTTCTGTCTAGATTTTATATGAAGACAATCCCGTTTCCAACGAAATCCTCAAAGCTATCCAAATATCCTCTTGCAGATTTTACAAAAAGAGTGTTTCAAAACTGCTCTATCAAAAGAAAAGTTCAACACTGTTAGTTGAGGGCGCACATCACAAATAAGTTTCTGAGAATGCTTCTATGTAGCTTTTATTGGAAGATATTTCCTTTTTCACCATAGGCCTGAAAGCGCTCCAAATGTCCACATCCAGATACTACAAAAAAAGTGTTTCAAACCTGCTCTATGAAAGGGAATGTTCAACTCTGTGACTTGAATGCAAACATCACAAAGAAGTTACTGGGAATGCTGCTGTCTGCTTTTTATATGTAATCCCGTTTCCAACGAAATCCTCAAAGCTAGACAAATATCCACTTGCAGATTCCACCAAAAGAGTGTTTCAAAACTGCTGTCTCAAAAGAAAGGTTCAACTGTGTTAGCTGAGTAGATACATCATGAACAATTTTCTGACATTGCTTCTATCTAGCTTTATTTGGAAGATATTTCCTTTTTCACCGTAGTCTTGAAAACGCTCCAAATGTCAACTTCCAGATACTACAAAAAGAGTGTTTCAAACCTGCTCTATGAAAGGGACTGTTCAACACTGTGACTTCAATTGAAACATCCCAATGAAGCTTCTGAGAATGCTTCTTTCTAGAGTTTATATGAAGACAATCCCGTTTCCAACGAAATCCTCAAAGCTATCCAAATATTCTCTTGCAGATATTACAAAAAGAGTGTTTCAAAACTGCTCTATCAAAATAAAGCTTCAACACTGTTAGTTGAGGGCGCACATCACAAATAAGTTTCTGAGAATGCTGCTGTCTGCTTTTTATATGTAATCCCGTTTCCAACGAAATCCTCAAAGCTAGACAAATATCCACTTGCAGATTCCACAAAAAGAGTGTTTCAAAACTGCTCTATCAAAAGAAAGCTTCAACACTGTTAGTTGAGGGCGCACATCACAAATAAGTTTCTGAGAATGCTTCTGTCTATTTTTCAGGGGAAGATATTTCCTTTTAAACCATAGGCCTGAAAGCGCTCCAAATGTCCACATCCAGATACTACAAAAAGAGTGTTTCAAACCTGCTCTATGAAAGGGACTGTTCAACACTGTGACTTCAATTGAAACATCCCAATGAAGCTTCTGAGAATGCTTCTGTCTAGAGTTTATATGAAGACAATCCCGTTTCCAACGAAATCCTCAAAGCTATCAAAATATCCTCCTGCAGATTTTACGAAAAGAGTGTTTCAAAACTGCTCTATCAAAAGAAAGCTTCAACACTGTTAGTTGACGGCGCACATCACAAATAAGATTCTGAGAATGCTTCTGTCTAGTTTTCAGGGGAAGATATTTCCTTTTTCACCATAGGCCTGAAAGCGCTTCAAATGTCCACATCCAGATACTACAAAAAGAGAGTTTCAAACCTGCTCTATGAAAGGGAATGTTCATGTCTGTGACTTGAATGCAAATTTCACAAAGAACTTTCTGGGAATGCTTCTGTCTAGAGTTTATATGAAGACAATCCCGTTTCCAACGAAATCCTCAAAACTATCCAAATATCCTCTTGCAGATTTTACAAAAAGAGTGTTTCAAAACTGCTCTCTCAAAAGAAAGGTTCAACTCTGTTAGCTGAGTAGATACATCATGAAAAAGTTTCTGACATTGCTTCTATGTAGCTTTTATTGGAAGATATTTCCTTTATCACCGTATTCCTGAGATCTCTCAAAATGTCCACTTCCAGATACTACAAAAAGAGTGTTTCAAACCTGCTCTATGAAAGGGACTGTTCAACACTGTGACTTCAATTGAAACATCCCAATGAAGCTTCTGAGAATGCTGCTGTCTGCTTTGTATAATTAATCCCGTTTCCAACGAAATCCTCAAAGCTATCCAAATATCCTCTTGCAGATATTACAAAAAGAGTGTTTCAAAACTGCTCTATCAAAAGAAAGCTTCAACACTGTTAGTTGAGGGCGCACATCACAAATAAGTTTCTGAGAATGCTGCTGTCTGCTTTTTATATGTAATCCCGTTTCCAACGAAATCCTCAAAGCTAGACAAATATCCACTTGCAGATTCCACAAAAAGAGTGTTTCAAAACTGCTCTATCAAAAGAATGCTTCAACACTCTTAGCTGAGGGCGCACATCACAAATAAGTTTCTGAGAATGCTTCTGTCTAGTTTTCAGGGGAAGATATTTCCTTTTAAACCATAGGCCTGAAAGCGCTCCAAATGTCCACATCCAGATACTACAAAAAGAGTGTTTGAAACCTGCTCTATGAAAGGGACTGTTCAACACTGTGACTTCAATTGAAACATCCCAATGAAGCTTCTGAGAATGCTTCTGTCTAGAGTTTATATGAAGACAATTCCGTTTCCAACGAAATCCTCAAAGCTATCCAAATATCCTCTTGCAGATTTTACAAAAAGAGTGTTTCAAAACTGCTCTATCAAAAGAAAGCTTCAACACTGTTAGTTGAGGGCGCACATCACAAATAAGATTCTGAGAATGCTTTCTGTCTAGTTTTCAGGAGAAGATATTTCCTTTTTCATCATAGGCCTGAAAGCGCTCCAAATGTCCACATCCAGATACTATAAAAAGAGTGTTTCAAACCTGCTCTCTGAAAGGGAATGTTCAACTCTGTGACTTGAATGCAATCATCACAAAGAAGTTTCTGGGAATGCTGCTGTCTGCTTTGTATATGTAATCCCGTTTCCAACGAAATCCTCAAAGCTAGACAAATATCCACTTGCAGATTCTACAAAAAGAGTGTTTCAAAACTGCTCTCTCAAAAGAAAGGTTCAACTCTGTTAGCTGAGTAGATACATCATGAAAAAGTTTCTGACATTGCTTCTATGTAGCTTTTATTGGAAGATATTTCCTTTTTCACCATAGTCCTGAGAGCGCTCCAAATGTCCACTTCCAGATACTACAAAAAGAGTGTTTCAAACCTGTTCTATGAAAGGAACTGTTCAACACTGTGACTTCAATTGAAACCTCCCAATGAAGCTTCTGAGAATGCTGCTGTCTGCTTTGTATAATTAATCCCGTTTCCAACGAAATCCTCAAAGCTATCCAAATATCCTCTTGCAGATATTACAAAAAGAGTGTTTCAAAACTGCTCTATCAAAAGAAAGCTTCAACACTGTTAGTTGAGGGCGCACATCACAAATAAGTTTCTGAGAATGCTGCTGTCTGCTTTTTATATGTAATCCCGTTTCCAACGAAATCCTCAAAGCTAGACAAATATCCACTTGCAGATTCCACAAAAAGAGTGTTTCAAAACTGCTCTATCAAAAGAATGCTTCAACACTGTTAGTTGAAGGCGCACATCACAAATAAGTTTCTGAGAATGCTTCTGTCTAGTTTTCAGGGGAAGATATTTCCTTTTTCACCATAGGCCTGAAAGCGCTCCAAATGTCCACATCCAGATACTACAAAA
The DNA here is from genome assembly GCF_000001405.40 of Homo sapiens. Classification (NCBI taxonomy): domain Eukaryota; kingdom Metazoa; phylum Chordata; class Mammalia; order Primates; family Hominidae; genus Homo; species Homo sapiens. Next base: position 93,976,238 of record NC_000002.12, on the reverse strand, counting down.
AGAGTGTTTCAAACCTGCTCTATGAAAGGGACTGTTCAACATTGTGACTTCAATTGAAACATCCCAATGAAGCTTCTGAGAATGCTTCTGTCTAGAGTTTATATGAAGACAATCCCTTTTCCAAAGAAATCCTCAATGCTATCCAAATATCCTCTTGCAGATATTACAAAAAGAGTGTTTCAAAACTGCTCTATCAAAAGAAAGGTTCAACACTGTTAGTTGAGGGCGCACATCACAAATAAGTTTCTGAGAATGCTTCTGTCTAGTTTTCAGGGGAAGATATTTCCTTTTTCACCATAGGCCTGAAAGCGCTCCAAATGTCCACATCCAGATACTACAAAAAGAGTGTTTCAAAACTGCTCTATGAAAGGGAATGTTCAACTCTGTGACTTGAATGCAAACATCACAAAGAAGTTACTGGGAATGCTGTTGTCTGCTTTTTATATGTAATCCCGTTTCCAACGAAATCCTCAAAGCTAGACAAATATCCACTTCCAGATTCCACAAAAAGAGTGTTTCAAAACTGCTCTCTCAAAAGAAAGGTTCAACTCTGTTAGCTGAGTAGATACATCATGAAAAAGTTTCTGACATTGCTTCTATGTAGCTTTTATTGGAAGATATTTCCTTTTTCACCATAGGCCTGAAAGCGCTCCAAATGTCCAAATCCAGATACTACAAAAAGAGTGTTTCAAACCTGCTCTATGAAAGGGAATGTTCAACTCTGTCACTTGAATGCAAACCTCACAACGAAGTTACTGGGAATGCTTCTGTCTAGAGTTTATATGAAGACAATCCCGTTTCCAACGAAATCCTCAAAGCTATCCAAATATCCTCTTGCAGATATTACAAAAAGAGTGTTTCAAAACTGCTCTATCAAAAGAAAGGTTCAACACTGTTAGTTGAGGGCGCACATCACAAATAAGTTTACTGAGAATGCTGCTGTCTGCTTTTTATAATTAATCCCGTTTCCAACGAAATCCTCAAAGCTATCCAAATATCCTCTTGCAGATATTACAAAAAGAGTGTTTCAAAACTGCTCTATCAAAAGAAAGCTTCAACACTGTTAGTTGAGGGCGCACATCACAAATAAGTTTCTGAGAATGCTTCTGTCTAGTTTTCAGGGGAAGATATTTCCTTTTAAACCATAGGCCTGAAAGCGCTCCAAATGTCCACATCCAGATACTACAAAAAGAGTGTTTGAAACCTGCTCTATGAAAGGGACTGTTCAACACTGTAACTTCAATTGAAACATCCCAATGAAGCTTACTGAGAATGCTTCTGCCTAGAGTTTATATGAAGACAATCCCGTTTCCAACGAAATCCTCAAAGCTATCCAAATATCCTCTTGCAGATATTACAAAAAGAGTGTTTCAAAACTGCTCTATCAAAAGAAAGCTTCAACACTGTTAGTTGAGGGCGCACATCACAAATAAGTTTCTGAGAATGCTTCTGTCTAGTTTTCAGGGGAAGATATTTCCTTTTTCACCATAGGCCTGAAAGCGCTCCAAATGTCCACATCCAGATATTACAAAAAGAGTGTTTCAAACCTGCTGTGTGAAAGGGAATGTTCAACTCTGTGACTTGAATGCAAACATCACAAAGAAGTTTCTGGGAATGCTGCTGTCTGCTTTTTATATGTAATCCCGTTTCCAACGAAATCCTCAAAGCTAGACAAATATCCACTTGCATATTCCACAAAAAGAGTGTTTCAAAGCTGCTCTCTCAAAAGAAAGGTTCATCTCTGTTAGCTGAGCAGATACATCATGAAAAAGTTTCTGACATTGCTTCTATCTAGCTTTTATTGGAAGATATTTCCTTTTTCACCGTAGTCCTGAGAACGCTCCAAATGTCCACTTCCCGATACTACAAAAAGAGTGTTTCAAACCTGCTCTATGAAAGGGACTGTTCAACACTGTGACTTCAATTGAAACATCCCAATGAAGCTTCTGAGAATGCTTCTGTCTAGAGTTTATATGAAGACAGTCCCGTTTCCAACGAAATCCTCAAAGCTATCCAAATATCCTCTTGCAGATTTTACAAAAAGAGTGTTCCAAAACTGCTCCATCAAAAGAAAGCTTCAACACTGTTAGTTGAGGGCGCACATCACAAATAAGATTACTGAGAATGCTGCTGTCTGCTTTTTATATGTAATCCCGTTTCCAACGAAATCCTCAAAGCTAGACAAATATCCACTTGCAGATTCCACAAAAAGAGTGTTTCAAAACTGCTCTATCAAAAGAAAGCTTCAACACTGTTAGTTGAGGGCGCACATCACAAATAAGTTTCTGAGAATGCTTCTGTCTAGTTTTCAGGGGAAGATATTTCCTTTTTCACCATAGGCCTGAAAGCGCTCCAAATGTCCACATCCAGATACTACAAAAAGAGTGTTTCAAACCTGCTCTATGAAAGGGACTGTTCAACAGTGTGACTTCAATTGAAACATCCCAATGACGCTTCTGAGAATGCTTCTGTCTAGAGTTTATATGAAGACAATCTCGTTTCCAACGAAATCCTCAAAGCTATCGAAATATCCTCTTGCAGATATTACGAAAAGAGTGTTTCAAAACTGCTCTATCAAAAGAAAGCTTCAACACTGTTAGTTGAGGGCGCACATCACAAATAAGATTCTGAGAATGCTCTGTCTAGTTTTCTGGGGAAGATATTTCCTTTTTCACCATAGGCCTGAAAGCGCTCCAAATGTCCACATCCAGATACTACAAAAAGAGTGTTTCAAACCTGCTCTATGAAAGGGAATGTTCAACTCTGTGAGTTGAATGCAAACATCACAAAGAAGTTACTGGGAATGCTGGCTGTCTGCTTTTTATATGTAATCCCGTTTCCAACGAAATCCTCAAAGCTAGACAAATATCCACTTGCAGATTCCACAAAAAGAGTGTTTCAAAACTGCTCTCTCAAAGGAAGGTTCAACTCTGTTAGCTGAGTAGATACATCATGAAAAAGTTTCTGACATTGCTTCTATCTAGCTCTTATTGGAAGATATTTCCTTTTTCACCGCAGTCCTGAGTGCGCTCCAAATGTCCACTTCCAGATACTACAAAAAGAGTGTTTCAAACCTGCTCTATGAAAGGGACTGTTCAACACTGTGACTTCAATTGAAACATCCCAATGAAGCTTCTGAGAATGCTTCTGTCTAGAGTTTATATGAAGACAATCCCGTTTCCAACGAAATCCTCAAAGCTATCCAAATATCCTCTTGCAGATATTACAAAAAGAGTGTTTCAAAACTGCTCTATCAAAAGAAAGCTTCAACACTGTTAGTTGAGGGCGCACATCACAAATAAGTTTCTGAGAATGCTTCTGTCTAGTTTTCAGGGGAAGATATTTCCTTTTTCACCATAGGCCTGAATGCGCTCCAAATGTCCACATCCAGATACTACAAAAAGAGTGTTTCAAACCTGCTCTATGAAAGGGAATGTTCAACTCTGTGACTTGAATGCAAACATCACAAAGAAGTTTCTGGGAATGCTGCTGTCTGCTTTTTATATGTAATCCCGTTTCCAACATAATCCTGAAAGCTAGACAAATATCCACCTGCAGATTCCACAAAAAGAGTGTTTCAAAACTGCTCTCTCAGAAAAAATGTTCAACTCTGTTAGCTGAGTAGATACATCATGAAAAAGTTTCTGACATTGCTTCTATCTAGCTTTTATTGGAAGATATTTCCTTTATCACCGTATTCCTGAGATCTCTCCAAATGTCCACTTCCAGATACTACAAAAAGAGTGTTTCAAACCTGCTCTATGAAAGGGACTGTTCAACACTGTGACTTCAATTGAAACATCCCAATGAAGCTTCTGAGAATGCTTCTGTCTAGAGTTTATATGAAGACAATCCCGTTTCCAACGAAATCCTCAAAGCTATCCAAATATCCTCTTGCAGATTTTACAAAAAGAGTGTTTCAAAACTGCTCTATCAAAAGAAAGCTTCAACACTGTTAGTTGAGGGTGCACATCACAAATAACATTCTGAGAATGCTGCTGTCTGCTTTTTATATGTAATCCCGTTTCCAACGAAATCCTCAAAGCTAGACAAATATTCACTTGCAGATTCCACAAAAAGAGTGTTTCAAAACTGCTCTATCAAAAGAAAGCTTCAACACTGTTAGTTGAGGGGGCACATCACAAATAAGTTTCTGAGAATGCTTCTGTCTAGTTTTCAGGGGAAGATATTTCCTTTTTCACCATAGGCCTGAAAGCGTTCCAAATGTCCACATCCAGATACTACAAAAAGAGTGTTTCAAACCTGCTCTATGAAACGGACTGTTCAACACTGTGACTTCAATTGAAACGTCCCAATGAAGCATCTGAGAATGCTTCTGTCTAGAGTTTATATGAAGACAATCCCGTTTCCAACGAAATCCTCAAAGCTATCCAAATATCCTCTTGCAGATTTTACAAAAAGAGTGTTTCAAAACTGCTCTATCAAAAGAAAGCTTCAACACTGTTAGTTGAGGGCGGACATCACAAATAAGATTCTGAGAATGCTTCTGTCTAGTTTTCAGGGGAAGATATTTCCTTTTTCACCATAGGCCTGATAGCGCTCCAAATGTCCACATCCAGATACTACAAAAAGAGTGTTTCAAACCTGCTCTATGAAAGGGAATGTTCAACTCTGTGACTTGAATGCAAACATCAAAAAGAAGTTACTGGGAATGCTGCTGTCTGCTTTTTATATGTAATCCCGTTTCCAACGAAATCCGCAAAGCTAGACAAATATCCACTTGCAGATTCCACAAAAAGAGTGTTTCAAAACTGCTCTCTCAAAAGAAAGGTTCAACTCTGTTAGCTGAGTAGATACATCATGAAAAAGTTTCTGACATTGCTTCTATGTAGCTTTTATTGGAAGATATTTCCTTTTTCACCGTAGTCCTGAGAGCGCTCCAAATGTCCACTTCCAGATACTACAAAAAGAGTGTTTCAAACCTGCTCTATGAAAGGGACTGTTCAACACTGTGACTTCAATTGAAACATCCCAATGAAGCTTCTGAGAATGCTGCTGTCTGCTTTGTATAATTAATCCCGTTTCCAACGAAATCCTCAAAGCTATCCAAATATCCTCTTGCAGATATTACAAAAAGAGTGTTTCAAAACTGCTCTATCAAAAGAAAGCTTCAACACTGTTAGTTGAGGGCGCACATCACAAATAAGTTTCTGAGAATGCTGCTGTCTGCTTTTTATATGTAATCCCGTTTCCAACGAAATCCTCAAAGCTAGACAAATATCCACTTGCAGATTCCACAAAAAGAGTGTTTCAAAACTGCTCTATCAAAAGAAAGGTTCAACACTGTTAGTTGAGGGCGCACATCACAAATAAGTTTCTGAGAATGCTTCTGTCTAGTTTTCAGGGGAAGATATTTCCTTTTAAAAAATAGGCCTGAAAGCGCTCCAAATGTCCACATCCAGATACTACAAAAAGAGTGTTTCAAACCTGCTCTATGAAAGGGACTGTTCAACACTGTGACTTCAATTGAAACATCCCAATGAAGCTTCTGAGAATGCTACTGTCTAGGGTTAATATGAAGACAATCCCGTTTCCAACGAAATCCTCAAAGCTATCCAAATATCCTCTTGCAGATTTTACAAAAAGAATGTTTCAAAACTGCTCTATCAAAAGAAAGCTTCAACACTGTTAGTTGAGGGCGCACATCACAAATAAGTTTCTGAGACTACTTCTGTCTAGTTTTCAGGGGAAGATATTTCCTTTTTCACCTTAGGCCTGAAAGCGCTGCAAATGTCCACATCCAGATACTACAAAAAGAGTGTTTCAAACCTGCTCTATGAAAGGGAATGTTCAACTCTGTGACTTGAATGCAAACATCACAAAGAAGTTACTGGGAATTCTGCTGTCTGCTTTTTATATGTAATCCCGTTTCCAACGAAATCCTCAAAGCTAGACAAATATCCACTTCCAGATTCCACAAAAAGAGTGTTTCAAAACTGCTGTCTCAAAAGAAAGGTTCAACTGCTGTTAGCTGAGTAGATACATCATGAAAAAGTTTCTGACATTGCTTCTATGAAGCTTTTATTGGAAGATATTTCCTTTTTCACCATAGTCCTGAGAGCGCTCCAAATGTCCACTTCCAGATACTACAAAAAGAGTGTTTCAAACCTGTTCTATGAAAGGGACTGTTCAACACTGTGACTTCAATTGAAACATCCCAATGAAGTTTCTGAGAATGCTGCTGTCTGCTTTGTATAATTAATCCCGTTTCCAACGAAATCCTCAAAGCTATCCAAATATCCTCTTGCAGATATTACAAAAAGAGTGTTTCAAAACTGCTCTATCAAAAGAAAGCTTCAACACTGTTAGTTGAGGGCGCACATCACAAATAAGTTTCTGAGAATGCTGCTGTCTGCTTTTTATAATTAATCCCGTTTCCAACGAAATCCTCAAAGCTATCCAAATATCCTCTTGCAGATATTACAAAAAGAGTGTTTCAAAACTGCTCTATCAAAAGAAAGCTTCAACACTGTTAGTTGAGGGCGCACATCACAAATAAGATTCTGAGAATGCTTCTGTCTAGTTTTCAGGGGAAGATATTTCCTTTTTCACCATAGGCCTGAAAGCGCTCCAAATGTCCACATCCAGATACTACAAAAAGAGTGTTTCAAACCTGCTCTATGAAAGGGACTGTTCAACACTGTGACTTCAATTGAAACATCCCAATGAAGCTTCTGAGAATGCTTCTGTCTAGAGTTTATATGAAGACAATACCGTTTCCAACGAAATCCTCAAAGCTATCCAAATATCCTCTTGCAGATTTTACAAAAAGAGTGTTTCAAAACTGCTTTATCAAAAGAAAGCTTCAACACTGTTAGTTGAGGGCGCACATCACAAATAAGATTCTGAGAATGCTTCTGTCTAGTTTTCAGGGGAAGATATTTCCTTTTTCACCATAGGCCTGAAAGCGCTCCAAATGTCCACATCCAGATACTACAAAAAGAGTGTTTCAAACCTGCTCTATGAAAGGGAATGTTCAACTCTGTGACTTGAATGCAAACATCACAAAGAAGATTCTGGGAATGCTGCTGTCTGCTTTTTATATGTAATCCTGTTTCCAACGAAATCCTCAAAGCTAGACAAATATCCACTTGCAGATTCCACAAAAAGAGTGTTTCAAAACTGCTCTCTCAAAAGAAAGGTTCAACTCTGTTAGCTGAGTAGATACATCATGAAAAAGTTTCTGACATTGCTTCTATGTAGCTTTTATTGGAAGATATTTCCTTTTTCACCGTAGTCCTGAGAGCGCTCCAAATGTCCACTTCCAGATACTACAAAAAGAGTGTTTCAAACCTGCTCTATGAAAGGGACTGTTCAACACTGTGACTTCAATTGAAACATCCCAATGAAGCTTCTGAGAATGCTTCTGTCTAGAGTTTATATGAAGACAATCCCGTTTCCAACGAAATCCTCAAAGCTATCCAAATATCCTCTTGCAGATTTTACAAAAAGAGTGTTTCAAAACTGCTCTATCAAAAGAAAGCTTCAACACTGTTAGTTGAGGGCGCACATCACAAATAAGATTCCGAGAATGCTTCTGTCTGGTTTTCAGGGGAAGATATTTCCTTTTTCACCATAGGCCTGAAAGCGCTCCAAATGTCCACATCCAGATACTACACAAAGAGTGTTTCAAACCTGCTCTATGAAAGGGAATGTTCAACTCTGTGACTTGAATGCAAACATCACAAAGAAGTTTCTGGGAATGCTTCTGTCTAGTTTTCAGGGGAAGATACTTCCTTTTAAACCATAGGCCTGAAAGCGCTCCAAATGTCCACATCCAGATACTACAAAAAGAGTGTTTCAAACCTGCTCTATGAAAGGGAATGTTCAACACTGTGACTTCAATTGAAACATCCCAATGACGCTTCTGAGAATGCTACTGTCTAGAATTTATATGAAGACAATCCCGTTTCCAAAGAAATCCTCAAAGCTATCCAAATATCCTCTTGCAGATTTTACAAAAAGAGTGTTTCAAAACTACTCTATCAAAAGAAAGGTTTAACACTGTTAGTTGAGGGCGCACATCACAAATAAGTTTCTGAGAATGCTTCTGTCTAGTTTTCAGGGGAAGATATTTCCTTTTTCACCATAGGCCTGAAAGCGCTCCAAATGTCCACATCCAGATACTTCAAAAAGAGTGTTTCAAACCTGCTCTATGAAAGGGAATGTTCAACTGTGTGACTTGAATGCAAACATCACAAAGAAGTTACTGGGAATGCTGCTGTCTGCTTTTTATATGTAATCCCGTTTCCAACGCAATCCTCAAAGCTAGACAAATATCCACTTGCAGATTCCACAAAAAGAGTGTTTCAAAACTGCTCTCTCAAAGGAAGGTTCAACTCTGTTAGCTGAGTAGATACATCATGAAAAAGTTTCTGACATTGCTTCTATGTAGCTTTTATTGGAAGATATTTAATTTTTCACCATAGTCCTGAGAGCCCTCCAAATGTCCACTTCCAGATACTACAAAAAGTGTGTTTCAAACCTGTTCTATGAAAGGAACTGTTCAACACTGTGACTTCAATTGAAACATCCCAATGAAGCTTCTGAGAATGCTGCTGTCTGCTTTGTATAATTAATCCCGTTTCCAACGAAATCCTCAAAGCTATCCAAATATCCTCTTGCAGATATTACAAAAAGAGTGTTTCAAAACTGCTCTATCAAAAGAAAGCTTCAACACTGTTAGTTGAGGGCGCACATCACAAATAAGTTTCTGAGAATGCTGCTGTCTGCTTTTTATATGTAATCCCGTTTCCAACGAAATCCTCAAAGCTAGACAAATATCCACTTGCAGATTCCACAAAAAGAGTGTTTCAAAACTGCTCTATCAAAAGAAAGCTTCAACACTGTTAGTTGAGGGCGCACATCACAAATAAGTTTCTGAGAATGCTTCTGTCTAGTTTTCAGGGGAAGATATTTCCTTTTAAACCATAGGCCTGAAAGCGCTCCAAATGTCCACATCCAGATACTACAAAAAGAGTGTTTGAAACCTGCTCTATGAAAGGGACTGTTCAACACTGTAACTTCAATTGAAACATCCCAATGAAGCTTACTGAGAATGCTTCTGTCTAGAGTTTATATGAAGACAATCCCGTTTCCAACGAAATCCTCAAAGCTATCAAAATATCCTCTTGCAGATTTTACGAAAAGAGTGTTTCAAAACTGCTCTATCAAAAGAAAGCTTCAACACTGTTAGTTGAGGGCGCACATCACAGATAAGATTCTGAGAATGCTTCTGTCTAGTTTTCAGGGGAAGATATTTCCTTTTTCACCATAGGCCTGAAAGCGCTCCAAATGTCCACATCCAGATACTACAAAAAGAGTGTTTCAAACCTGCTCTATGAAAGGGAATGTTCAACTCTGTGACTTGAATGCAAACGTCACAAAGAAGTTTCTGGGAATGCTGCTGTCTGCTTTTTATATGGATTCCCGTTTCCAACGAAATCCTCCAAGCTGGCTTAATATCCACTTGCATATTCCACAAAAAGACTGTTTTAAAACTGCTCTCTCAAAAGAAAGGTTGAACTCTGTTAGCTGAGTAGATATATCATGAAAAAGTTTCTGACATTGCTTCTATCTAGCTTTTATTGGAAGATATTTCCTTTTTCACCGTAGTCCTGAGAGCGCTCCAAATGTCCACTTCCAGATACTACAAAAAGAGTGTTTCAAACCTGCTCTATGAAAGGGAATGTTCAACACTGTGACTTCAGTTGAAACATCCCAATGAAGCTTCTGAGAATGCTGCTGTCTGCTTTGTATAATTAATCCCGTTTCCAACGAAATCCTCAAAGCTATCCAAATATCCTCTTGCAGATATTACAAAAAGAGTGTTTCAAAACTGCTCTATCAAAAGAAAGCTTCAACACTGTTAGTTGAGGGCGCACATCACAAATAAGTTTCTGAGAATGCTGCTGTCTGCTTTTTATATGTAATCCCGTTTCCAACGAAATCCTCAAAGCTAGACAAATATCCACTTGCAGATTCCACAAAACGAGTGTTTCAAAACTGCTCTATCAAAAGAATGCTTCAACACTGTTAGTTGAGGGCGCACATCACAAATAAGTTTCTGAGAATGCTTCTGTGTAGTTTTCAGGGGAAGATATTTCCTTTTTCACCATAGGCCTGAAAGCGCTCCAAATGTCCACATCCAGATACTACAAAAAGAGTGTTTCAAACCTGCTCTATGAAAGGGACTGTTCAACACTGTGACTTCAATTGAAACATCCCAATGAAGCTTCTGAGAATGCTTCTGTCTAGAGTTTATATGAAGACAATCCCGTTTCCAAAGCAAATCCTCAAAGCTATCCAAATATCCTCTTGCAGATATTACAAAAAGAGTGTTTCAAAACTGCTCTATCAAAAGAAAGGTTCAACACTGTTAGTTGAGGGCGCACATCACAAATAAGTTTCTGAGAATGCTTCTGTCTAGTTTTCAGGGGAAGATATTTCCTTTTTCACCTTAGGCCTGGAAGCGCTGCAAATGTCCGTATACAGATAGTACAAAAAGAGTGTTACAAACCTGCTCTATGAAAGGGAATGTTCAACTCTGTGACTTGAATGCAAACATCACAAAGAAGTTTCTGGGAATGCTGCTGTCTGCTTTTTATATGTAATCCGGTTTCCAGCGAAATCCTCAAAGCTAGACAAATATCCACTTGCAGATTCCACAAAAAGAGTGTTTCAAAACTGCTCTCTCAAAGGAAGGTTCAACTCTGTTAGCTGAGTAGATACATCATGAAAAAGTTTCTGACATTGCTTCTATCTAGCTTTTATTGGAAGATATTTCCTTTTTCACCGCAGTCCTGAGAGCGCTCCAAATGTCCACTTCCAGATACTACAAAAAGAGTGTTTCAAACCTGCTCTATGAAAGGGACTGTTCAACATGTGACTTCAATTGAAACATCCCAATGAAGCTTCTGAGAATGCTTCTGTCTAGAGTTTATATGAAGACAATCCCGTTTCCAACGAAATCCTCAAAGCTATCCAAATATCCTCTTGCAGATTTTACAAAAAGAGTGTTTCAAAACTGCTCTATCAAAAGAAAGCTTCAACACTGTTAGTTGAGGGTGCACATCAAAAATAAGATTCTGAGAATGCTGCTGTCTGCTTTTTATATGTAATCCCGTTTCCAACGAAATCCTCAAAGCTAGACAAATATCCACTTGCAGATTCCACAAAAAGAGTGTTTCAAAACTGCTCTATCAAAAGAAAGCTTCAACACTGTTAGTTGAGGGCGCACATCACAAATAAGTTTCTGAGAATGCTTCTGTCTAGTTTTCAGGGGAAGATATTTCCTTTTAAACCATAGGCCTGAAAGCGCTCCAAATGTCCACATCCAGATACTACAAAAAGAGTGTTTCAAACCTGCTCTATGAAAGGGACTGTTCAACACTGTGACTTCAATTGAAACATCCCAATGAAGCTTCTGAGAATGCTTCTGTCTAGAGTTTATATGAAGACAATCCCGTTTCCAACGAAATCCTCAAAGCTATCCAAATATCCTCTTGCAGATTTTACAAAAAGAGTGTTTCAAAGCTGCTCTATCAAAAGAAAGCTTCAACACTGTTAGTTGAGTGCGCACATCACAAATAAGATTCTGAGAATGCTTCTGTCTAGTTTTCAGGGGAAGATATTTCCTTTTTCACCATAGGCCTGAAAGCGCTCCAAATGTCCACATCCAGATACTACAAAAAGAGTGTTTCAAACCTGCTCTATGAAAGGGAATGTTCAACTCTGTGACTTGAATGCAAACATCACAAAGAAGTTTCTGGGAATGCTGCTGTCTGCTTTTTATATGTAATCCTGTTTCCAACGAAATCCTCAAAGCTAGACAAATATCCACTTGCAGATTCCACAAAAAGAGTGTTTCAAAACTGCTCTCTCAAAAGAAAGGTTCAACACTTTTAGCTGAGTAAATACATCATGAAAAAGTTTCTGACATTGCTTCTATCTAGCTTTTATTGGAATATATTTCCTTTATCACCGTATTCCTGAGATCTCTCCAAATGTCCACTTCCAGATACTACAAAAAGAGTGTTTCAAACCTGCTCTATGAAAGGGACTGTTCAACACTGTGACTTCAATTGAAACATCCCAATGAAGCTTCTGAGAATGCTTATGTCTAGAGTTTATATGAAGACAATCCCGTTTCCAACGAAATCCTGAAAGCTATCCAAATATCCTCTTGCAGATATTACAAAAAGAGTGTTTCAAAACTGCTCTATCAAAAGAAAGCTTCAACACTGTTAGTTGAGGGCGCCCATCACAAATAAGTTTCGGAGAATGCTTAGCTGTCTGCTTTTCATATGTAATCCCGTTTCCAACGAAATCCTCAAAGCTAGACAAATATCCACTTGCAGATTCCACAAAAAGAGTGTTTCAAAACTGCTCTATCAAAAGAATGCTTCAACACTGTTAGTTGAGGGCGCACATCACAAATAAGTTTCTGAGAATGCTTCTGTCTAGTTTTCAAGGGAAGATATTTCCTTTTAAACCATAGGCCTGAAAGCGCTCCAAATGTCCACATCCAGATACTACAAAAAGAGTGTTTCAAACCTGCTCTATGAAAGGGACTGTTCAACACTGTGACTTCAATTGAAACATCCCAATGACGCTTCTGAGAATGCTTCTGTCTAGAGTTTATATGAAGACAATCCCGTTTCCAATGAAATCCTCAAAGCTATCCAAATATCCTCTTGCAGATTTTACAAAAAGAGTGTTTCAAAACTGCTCTATCAAAAGAAAGCTTCAACACTGTTATTTGAGGGCGCACATCACAAATAAGATTCTGAGAATGCTTTTGTCTAGTTTTCAGGGGAAGATATTTCCTTTTTCACCTTAGGCCTGAAAGCGCTGCAAATGTCCACATCCAGATACTACAAAAAGAGTGTTTCAAACCTGCTCTATGAAAGGGAATGTTCAACTCTGTGACTTGAATGCAAACATCACAAAGAAGTTTCTGGGAATGCTGCCGTCTGCTTTTTATATGTAATCCCGTTTCCAACGAAATCCTCAAAGCTAGACAAATATCCACTTGCAGATTCCACAAAAAGAGTGTTTCAAAACTGCTCTCTCAAAAGAAAGGTTCAACTCTGTTAGCTGAGTAGATACATCATGAAAAAGTTTCTGACATTGCTTCTATCTAGCTTTTATTGGAAGATATTTCCTTTTTCACCGCAGTCCTGAGAGCGCTCCAAATGTCCACTTCCAGATACTACAAAAAGAGTGTTTCAAACCTGCTCTATGAAAGGGACTGTTCAACACTGTGACTTCAATTGAAACATCCCAATGAAGCTTCTGAGAATGCTGCTGTCTGCTTTGTATAATTAATCCCGTTTCCAACGAAATCCTCAAAGCTATCCAAATATCCTCTTGCAGATATTACAAAAAGAGTGTTTCAAAACTGCTCTATCAAAAGAAAGCTTCAACACTGTTAGTTGAGGGCGCACATCACAAATAAGTTTCTGAGAATGCTGCTGTCTGCTTTTTATATGTAATCCCGTTTCCAACGAAATCCTCAAAGCTAGCACAAATATCCACTTGCAGATTCCACAAAAAGAGTGTTTCTAAACTGCTCTATCAAAAGAAAGCTTCAACACTGTTAGTTGAGGGGGCACATCACAAATAAGTTTCTGAGAATGCTTCTGTCTAGTTTTCAGGGGAAGATATTTCCTTTTTCACCATAGGCCTGAAAGCGCTCCAAATGTCCACATCCAGATACTACAAAAAGAGTGTTTCAAACCTGCTCTATGAAAGGGACTGTTCAACACTGTGACTTCAATTGAAACATCCCAATGAAGCTTCTGAGAATGCTTCTGTCTAGAGTTTATATGAAGACAATCCCGTTTCCAAAGAAATCCTCAAAGCTATCCAAATATCCTCTAGCAGATTTTACAAAAAGAGTGTTTCAAAACTGCTCTATCAAAAGAAAGCTTCAACACTGTTAGTTGAGGGCGCACATCACAAATAAAATTCTGAGAATGCTTCTGTCTAGTTTTCAGGGGAAGATATTTCCTTTTTCACCATAGGCCTGAAAGCGCTCCAAATGTCCACATCCAGATACTACAAAAAGAGAGTTTCAAACCTGCTCTATGAAAGGGAATGTTCAAGTCTGTGACTTGAATGCAAATTTCACAAAGAACTTTCTGGGAATGCTGCTGTCTGCTTTTTATATGTAATCCCGTTTCCAACGAAATCCTCAAAGATAGACAAATATCCACTTGCAGATTCCACAAAAAGAGTGTTTCAAAACTGCTCTCTCAAAAGAAAGGTTCAACTCTGTTAGCTGAATAGATACATCATGAGAAATTTTCTGACATTGCTTCTATGTAGCTTTTATTGGAAGATATTTCCTTTTTCACCGTAGTCCTGAGAGCGCTCCAAATGTCCACTTCCAGATACTACAAAAAGAGTGTTTCAAACCTGCTCTATGAAAGGGACTGTTCAACACTGTGACTTCAATTGAAACATCCCAATGAAGCTTCTGAGAATGCTTCTGTCTAGAGTTTATATGAAGACAATCCCGTTTCCAATGAAATCCTCAAAGCTATGCAAATATCCTCTTGCAGATTTTACAAAAAGAGTGTTTCAAAACTGCTCTATCAAAAGAAAGCTTCAACACTGTTAGTTGAGGGCGCACATCACAGATAAGATTCTGAGAATGCTGCTGTCTGCTTTTTATATGTAATCCCGTTTCCAACGAAATCCTCAAAGCTAGACAAATATCCACTTACAGATTCCACAAAAAGAGTGTTTCAAAACTGCTCTATCAAAAGAAAGCTTCAACACTGTTAGTTGAGGGCGCACATCACAAATAAGATTTTGAGAATGCTTCTGTCTAGTTTTCAGGGGAAGATATTTCCTTTTTCACCATAGGCCTGAAAGCGCTCCAAATGTCCACATACAGACACTACAAAAAGAGTGTTTCAAACCTGCTCTATGAAAGGGAATGTTCAACTCTGTGACTTGAATGCAAACATCGCAAAGAAGTTTGTGGGAATGCTTCTGTCTAGAGTTTATATGAAGACAATCCCGTTTCCAATGAAATCCTCAAAGATATCCAAATATCCTCTTGCAGATTTTACAAAAAGAGTGTTTCAAAACTGCTCTATCAAAAGAAAGCTTCAACGCTGTTAGTTGAGGGCGCACATCACAAATAAGTTTCTGAGAATGCTTCTGTATAGTTTTCAGGAGAAGATATATCCTTTTTCACCATAGGCCTGAAAGCGCTCCAAATGTCCACATCCAGATACTATAAAAAGAGTGTTTCAAACCTGCTCTCTGAAAGGGAATGTTCAACTCTGTGACTTGAATGCAAATATCACAAAAAAGATTCTGGGAATGCTGCTGTCTGCTTTTTATATGTAATCCCGTTTCCAAAGAAATCCTCAAAGCTAGACAAATATCCACTTGCAGATTCCACAAAAAGAGTGTTTCAAAACTGCTCTCTCAAAAGAAAGGTTCAACTCTTTTAGCTGAGTAGATACATCATGAAAAAGTTTCTCACATTGCTTCTATGTAGCTTTTATTGGAAGATATTTCCTTTTTTCACCGCAGTCCTGAGAGCGCTCCAAATGTCCACTTCCAGATACTACAAAAAGAGTGTTTCAAACCTGCTCTATGAAAGGGACTGTTCAACACTGTGACTTCAATTGAAACATCCCAATGAAGCTTCTGAGAATGCTTCTGTCTAGAGTTTATTTGAAGACAATCCCGTTTCCAATGAAATCCTCAAAGCTATGCAAATATCCTCTTGCAGATTTTACAAAAAGAGTGTTTCAAAACTGCTCTATCAAAAGAAAGGTTCAACACTGTTAGTTGAGGGCGCACATCACAAATAAGATTCTGAGAATGCTGCTGTCTGCTTTTTATATGTAATCCCGTTTCCAACGAAATCCTCAAAGCTAGACAAATATCCACTTGCAGATTCCACAAAAAGAGTGTTTCAATACTGCTCTATGAAAAGAATGCTTCAACACTGTTAGTTGAGGGCGCACATCACAAATAAGTTTCTGAGAATGCTTCTGTCTAGTTTTCAGGGGAAGATATTTCCTTTTTCACCATAGGCCTGAAAGCGCTCCAAATGTCCACATCCAGATACTACAAAAAGAGTGTTTCAAACCTGCTCTATGAAAGGGACTGTTCAACACTGTGACTTCAATTGAAACATCCCAATGAAGCTTCTGAGAATGCTTCTGTCTAGAGTTTATATGAAGACAATCCCGTTTCCAACGAAATCCTCAAAGCTATCCAAATATCCTCTTGCAGATATTACAAAAAGAGTGTTTCAAAACTGCTCTATCAAAAGAAAGGTTCAACACTGTTAGTTGAGGGCGCACATCACAAATAAGTTTCTGAGAATGCTTCTGTCTAGTTTTCAGGAGAAGATATTTCCTTTTTCACCATAGGGCTGAAAGCGCTCCAAATGTCCACATCCAGATACTACAAAAAGAGTGTTTCAAACCTGCTCTATGAAAGGGAGTGTTCAACTGTGTGACGTGAATGCAAACATCACAAAGAAGTTTCTGGGAATGCTGCTGTCTGCTTTTTATATGTAATCCCGTTTTCAACGAAATCCTCAAAGCTAGACAAATATCCACTTGCAGATTCCACAAAAAGAGTGTTTCAAAACTGCTCTCTCAAAAGAAAGGTTCAACTCTGTTAGCTGAGTAGATACATCATGAAAAAGTTTCTGACATTGCTTCTATCTAGCTTTTATTGGAAGATATTTCCTTTTTCACCGTAGTCCTGAGAGCGCTCCAAATGTCCACTTCCAGATACTACAAAAAGAGTGTTTCAAACCTGCTCTATGAAAGGGACTGTTCAACACTGTGACTTCAATTGAAACATCCCAATGAAGCTTCTGAGAATGCTGCTGTCTGCTTTGTATAATTAATCCCGTTTCCAACGAAATCCTCAAAGCTATCCAAATATCCTCTTGCAGATATTACAAAAAGAGTGTTTCAAAACTGCTCTATCAAAAGAAAGCTTCAACACTGTTAGTTGAGGGCGCACATCACAAATAAGTTTCTGAGAATGCTGCTGTCTGCTTTTTATATGTAATCCCGTTTCCAACGAAATCCTCAAAGCTAGACAAATATCCACTTGCAGATTCCACAAAAAGAGTGTTTCTAAACTGCTCTATCAAAAGAAAGCTTCAACACTGTTAGTTGAGGGGGCACATCACAAATAAGTTTCTGAGAATGCTTCTGTCTAGTTTTCAGGGGAAGATATTTCCTTTTTCACCTTATGCCTGAAAGCGCTGCAAATGTCCACATCCAGATACTACAAAAAGAGTGTTTCAAACCTGCTCTATCAAAGGGACTGTTCAACACTGTGACTTCAATTGAAACATCCCAATGAAGCTTACTGAGAATGCTTACTGTCTAGGGTTAACATGAAGACAATCCCGTTTCCAACGAAATCCTCAAAGCTATCCAAATATCTTCTTGCAGATTTTACAAAAAGAATATTTCAAAACTGCTCTATCAAAAGAAAGCTTCAACACTGTTAGTTGAGGGCGCACATCACAAATAAGTTTCTGAGAATACTTCAGTCTAGTTTTCAGTGGAAGTTATTTCCTTTTTCACCATAGGCCTGAAAGGGCTGCAAATGTCCAAATCCAGATACTACAAAAAGAGTGTTTCAAACCTGCTCTATGAAAGGGAATGTTAAACTCTGTGACTTGAATGCAAACATCACAAAGAAGTTTCTGGGAATGCTGCTGTCTGCTTTTTATATGTAACCCGTTTCCAACGAAATCCTCAAAGCTAGACAAATATCCACTTGCAGATTCCACAAAAAGAGTGTTTCAAAACTGCTGTCTCAAAGGAAGGTTCAACTCTGTTAGCTGAGTAGATACATCATGAAAAAGTTTCTGACATTGCTTCTATCTAGCTTTTATTGGAAGATATTTCCTTTTTCACCGCAGTCCTGAGAGCGCTCCAAATGTCCACTTCCAGATACTACAAAAAGAGTGTTTCAAACCTGCTCTATGAAAGGGACTGTTCAACACTGTGACTTTAATTGAAACATCCCAATGAAGCTTCTGAGAATGCTTCTGTCTAGAGTTTATATGAAGACAATCCCGTTTCCAACGAAATCCTCAAAGCTATCAAAATATCCTCTTGCAGATTTTACGAAAAGAGGGTTTCAAAACTGCTCTATCAAAAGAAAGCTTCAACACTGTTAGTTGAGGGCGCACATCACAAATAAGATTCTGAGAATGCTTCTGTCTAGTTTTCAGGGGAAGATATTTCCTTTTTCACCTTAGGCCTGAAAGCGCTGCAAATGTCCACATCCAGATACTAGAAAAAGAGTGTTTCAAACCTGCTCTATGAAAGGGAATGTTCAACTCTGTGACTTGAATGCAAACATCACAAAGAAGTTTCTGGGAATGCTGCTGTCTGCTTTTTATATGTAATCCCGTTTCCAACGAAATCCTCAATGCTAGACAAATATCCACTTGCAGATTCCACAAAAAGAGTGTTTCAAAACTGCTCTCTCAAAAGAAAGGTTCAACTCTGTTAGCTGAGTAGATACATCATGAAAAAGTTTCTGACATTGCTTCTATCTAGCTTTTATTGGAAGATATTTCCTTTATCACCGTATTCCTGAGATCTCTCCAAACGTCCACTTCCAGATACTACAAAAAGAGTGTTTCAAACCTGCTCTATGAAAGGGACTGTTCAACACTGTGACTTCAATTGAAACATCCCAATGAAGCTTCTGAGAATGCTTCTGTCTAGAGTTTATATGAAGACAATCCCGTTTCCAACGAAATCCTCAAAGCTATCAAAATATCCTCTTGCAGATTTTACAAAAAGAGTGTTTCAAAACTGCTCTATCAAAAGAAAGCTTCAACACTGTTAGTTGAGGGCGCACATCACAAATAAGATTCTGAGAATGCTTCTGTCTAGTTTTCAGGGGAAGATATTTCCTTTTTCACCATAGGCCTGAAAGCGCTCCAAATGTCCACATACAGATACTACAAAAAGAGTGTTTCAAACCTGCTCTATGAAAGGGAATGTTCAACTCTGTGACTTGAATGCAAACATCACAAAGAAGTTTCTGGGAATGCTGCTGTCTGCTTTTTATATGTAATCCCGTTTCCAACGAAATCCTCAAAGCTAGACAAATATCCACTTGCAGATTCCACAAAAAGAGTGTTTCAAAACGGCTCTCTCAAAAGAAAGGTTCAACTCTGTTAGCTGAGTAGATACATCATGAAAAAGTTTCTGACATTGCTTCTATTTAGCTTTTACTGGAAGATATTTCCTTTATCACCGTATTCCTGAGATCTCTCCAAATGTCCACTTCCAGATACTACAAAAAGAGTGTTTCAAACCTGCTCTATGAAAGGGACTGTTCAACACTGTGACTTCAATTGAAACATCCCAATGAAGCTTCTGAGAATGCTGCTGTCTGCTTTGTATAATTAATCCCGTTTCCAACGAAATCCTCAAAGCTATCCAAATATCCTCTTGCAGATATTACAAAAAGAGTGTTTCAAAACTGCTCTATCAAAAGAAAGCTTCAACACTGTTAGTTGAGGGCGCACATCACAAATAAGTTTCTGAGAATGCTGCTGTCTGCTTTTTATAATTAATCCCGTTTCCAACGAAATCCTCAAAGCTATCCAAATATCCTCTTGCAGATATTACAAAAAGAGTGTTTCAAAACTGCTCTATCAAAAGAAAGGTTCAACACTGTTAGTTGAGGGCGCACATCACAAATAAGTTTCTGAGAATGCTTCTGTCTAGTTTTCAGGGGAAGATATTTCCTTTTTCACCATAGGCCTGAAAGCGCTCCAAATGTCCACATCCGGATACTACAAAAAGAGTGTTTCAAACCTGCTCTATGAAAGGGACTGTTCAACACTGTGACTTCAATTGAAACATCCCAATGAAGCTTCTGAGAATACTTCTGTCTAGAGTTTATATGAAGACAATTCCGTTTCCAACGAAATCCTCAAAGCTATCCAAATATCCTCTTGCAGATTTTACAAAAAGAGTGTTTCAAAACTGCTCTATCAAAAGAAAGCTTCAACACTGTTAGTTGAGGGCGCACATCACAAATAAGATTCTGAGAATGCTTCTGTCTAGTTTTCAGGGGAAGATATTTCCTTTTTCACAATAGGCCTGAAAGCGCTCCAAATGTCCACATCCAGATACTACAAAAAGAGTGTTTCAAACCTGCTCTATGAAAGGGAATGTTCAACTCTGTGACTTGAATGCAAACATCACAAAGAAGTTACTGGAAATGCTGCTGTCTGCTTTTTATATGTAATCCCGTTTCCAACGAAATCCTCAAAGCTAGACAAATATCCACCTGCAGATTCCACAAAAAGAGTGTTTCAAAACTGCTCTCTCAAAAGAAAGGTTCAATTCTGTTAGCTGAGTAGATACCTCATGAAAAATTTTCTGACATTGCTTCTATCTAGCTTTTATTGGAAGATATTTCCTTTTTCACCGTAGTCCTGAGAGCGCTCCAAATGTCCACTTCCAGATACTACAAAAAGAGTGTTTCAAACCTGCTCTATGAAAGGGACTGTTCAACACTGTGACTTCAATTGAAACATCCCAATGAAGCTTCTGAGAATGCTTCTGTCTAGAGTTTATATGAAGACAATCCCGTTTCCAACGAAATCCTCAAAGCTATCCAAATATCCTCTTGCAGATATTACAAAAAGAGTGTTTCAAAACTGCTCTATCAAAAGAAAGGTTCAACACTGTTAGTTGAGGGCGCACATCACAAATAAGTTTACTGAGAATGCTGCTGTCTGCTTTGTATATGTAATCCCGTTTCCAACGAAATCCTCAAAGCTAGACAAATATCCACTTGCAGATTCCACAAAAAGAGTGTTTCAAAACTGCTCTATCAAAAGAAAGCTTCAACACTGTTAGTTGAGGGCGCACATCACAAATAAGATTCTGAGAATGCTTCTGTCTAGTTTTCAGGAGAAGATATTTCCTTTTTCACCGTATTCCTGAGATCTCTCCAAATGTCCACTTCCAGATACTACAAAAAGAGTGTTTCAAACCTGCTCTATGAAAGGGACTGTTCAACACTGTGACTTCAATTGAAACATCCCAATGAAGCTTCTGAGAATGCTTCTGTCTAGAGTTTATATGAAGATAATCCCGTTTCCAACGAAATCCTCAAAGCTATCCAAATATCCTCTTGCAGATTTTACGAAAAGAGTGTTTCAAAACTGCTCTATCAAAAGAAAGCTTCAACACTGTTAGTTGAGGGCGCACATCACAAATAAGATTCTGAGAATGCTTCTGTCTAGTTTTCAGGAGAAGATATTTCCTTTTTCACCATAGGCCTGAAAGCGCTCCAAATGTCCACATCCAGATACTATAAAAAGAGTGTTTCAAACCTGCTCTATGAAAGGGAATGTTCAACTCTGTGACTTGAATGCAAACATCTCAAAGAAGATTCTGGGAATGCTGCTGTCTGCTTTTTATATGTAATCCCGTTTCAAACGCAATCCTCAAAGGTAGACAAATATCCACTTGCAGATTCCACAAAAAGAGGGTTTCAAAACTGCTCTCTCAAAAGAAAGGTTCAACTCTGTTAGCTGAGTAGAAACATCATGAAAAAGTTTCTGACACTGCTTCTATCTAGCTTTTATGGGAAGATATTTCCTTTTTCACCATAGTCCTGAGAGCGCTCCAAATGTCCACTTCCAGATGCTACAAAAAGAGTGTTTCAAACCTGCTATATTAAAGGGACTGTTCAACACTGTGACTTCAATTGAAACATCCCAATGAAGCTTCTCAGAATGCTACTGTCTAGAGTTTATATGAAGACAATCGCGTTTCCAACGAAATCCTCAAAGCTATCCAAATATCCTCTTGCAGATTTTACAAAAAGAGTGTTTCAAAACTGCTCCATCAAAAGAAAGCTTCAACACTGTTAGTTGAGGGCGCACATCACAAATAAGATTCTGAGAATGCTGCTGTCTGCTTTTTATATGTAATCCCGTTTCCAACGAAATCCTCAAAGCTAGACAAATATCCACTTGCAGATTCCACAAAAAGAGTGTTTCAAAACTGCTCTATCAAAAGAAAGCTTCAACACTATTAGTTGAGGGCGCACATCACAAATAAGTTTCTGAGAATGCTTCTGTCTAGTTTTCAGGGGAAGATATTTCCTTTTAAACCATAGGCCTGAAAGCGCTCCAAATGTCCACATCCAGATACTACAAAAAGAGTGTTTCAAACCTGCTCTATGAAAGGGACTGTTCAACACTGTGACTTCAATTGAAACATCCCAATGACGCTTCTGAGAATGCTTCTGTCTAGAGTTTATATGAAGACAATCCCGTTTCCAATGAAATCCTCAAAGCTATCCAAATATCCTCTTGCAGATATTACAAAAAGAGTGTTTCAAAACTGCTCTATCAAAAGAAAGCTTCAACACTGTTAGTTGAGGGCGCACATCACAAATAAGATTCTGAGAATGCTTCTGTCTAGTTTTCAGGGGAAGAAATTTCCTTTTTCACCATAGGCCTCAAAGCGCTCAAAATGTCCACATCCAGATACTACAAAAAGAGTGTTTCAAACCTGCTCTATGAAAGGGAATGTTCAACTCTGTGACTTGAATGCAAACATCACAAAGAAGTTACTGGGAATTCTGCTGTCTGCTTTGTATATGTAATCCCGTTTCCAACGAAATCCTCAAAGCTAGACAAATATCCACTTGCAGATTCCACAAAAAGAGTGTTTCAAAACTGCTCTCTCAAAAGAAAGGTTCAACTCTGTTAGCTGAGTAGATACATCATGAAAAAGTTTCTGACATTGCTTCTATCTAGCTTTTATTGGAAGATATTTCCTTTATCACCGTATTCCTGAGATCTCTCCAAATGTCCACTTCCAGATACTACAAAAAGAGTGTTTCAAACCTGCTCTATGAAAGGGACTGTTCAACACTGTGACTTCAATTGAAACATCCCAATGAAGCTTCTGAGAATGCTTCTGTCTAGATTTTATATGAAGACAATCCCGTTTCCAACGAAATCCTCAAAGCTATCCAAATATCCTCTTGCAGATATTACAAAAAGAGTGTTTCAAAACTGCTCTATCAAAAGAAAGGTTCAACAGTGTTAGTTGAGGGCGCACATCACAAATAAGTTTCTGAGAATGCTTCTGTCTAGTTTTCAGGGGAAGATATTTCCTTTTTCACCATAGGCCTGAAAGCGCTCCAAATGTCCACATCCAGATACTACAAAAAGAGTGTTTCAAACCTGCTCTATGAAAGGGAATGTTCAACTCTGTCACTTGAATGGAAACATCACAAACAAGTTACTGGGAATGCTGCTGTCTGCCTTTTATATTTAATCCCGTTTCCAACGAAATCCTCAAAGCTAGACAAATATCCACTTCCAGATTCCACAAAAAGAGTGTTTCAAAACTGCTCTCTCAAAAGAAAGTTTCAACTCTGTTAGCTGAGTAGATACATCATGAAAAAGTTTCTGACATTGCTTCTATGTAGCTTTTATTGGAAGATATTTCCTTTTTCACTGTAGTCCTGAGAGCGCTCCAAATGTCCACTTCCAGATACTACAAAAAGAGTGTTTCAAACCTGCTCTATGAAAGGGACTGTTCAACACTGTGACTTCAATTGAAACATCCCAATGAAGCTTCTGAGAATGCTTCTGTCTTGAGTTTATATGAAGAAAATCCCGTTTCCAATGAAATCCCCAAAGCTATCCAAATATCCTCTTGCAGATTTTACAAAAAGACTGTTTCAAAACTGCTCTATCAAAAGAAAGCTTCAACACTGTTAGCTGAGGGCGCACATCACAAATAAGATTCTGAAAATGCTTCTGTCTAGTTTTCAGGGGAAGATATTTCCTTTTTCACCATAGGCCTGAAAGCGCTCCAAATGTCCACATCCAGATACTACAAAAAGAGTGTTTCAAACCTGCTCTATGAAAGGGAATGTTCAACTCTGTGACTTGAATGCAAACATCACAAAGAAGTTTCTGGGAATGCTGCTGTCTGCTTTTTATATGTAATCCCGTTTCCAACGAAATCCTCAAAGCTAGACAAATATCCACCTGCAGATCCAACAAAAAGAGTGTTTCAAAACTGCTCTCTGAAAAAAAAGGTTCAACTCTGTTAGCTGAGTAGATACATCATGAAAAATTTTCTTACATTGCTTCTATCTAGCTTTTATTGGAAGACATTTCCTTTTTCACCGTAGTCCTGAGAGCGCTCCAAATGTCAACTTCCAGATACTACAAAAAGAGTGTTTCAAACCTGCTCTATGAAAGGGACTGTTCAACACTGTGACTTCAATTGAAACATCCCAATGAAGCTTCTGAGAATGCTTCTGTCTAGAGTTTATATGAAGACAATCCCGTTTCCAACGAAATCCTCAAAGCTATCCAAATATCCTCTTGCAGATATTACAAAAAGAGTGTTTCAAAACTGCTCTATCAAAAGAAAGGTTCAACACTGTTAGTTGAGGGCGCACATCACAAATAAGTTTACTGAGAATGCTGCTGTCTGCTTTTTATATGTAATCCCGTTTCCAACGAAATCCTCAAAGCTAGTACAAATATCCACTTGCAGATTCCACAAAAAGAGTGTTTCAAAACTGCTCTATCAAAAGAATGCTTCAACACTGTTAGTTGAGGGCGCACATCACAAATAAGTTTCTGAGAATGCTTCTGTCTAGTTTTCAGGGGAAGATATTTCCTTTTTCACCATAGGCCTGAAAGCGCTCGAAATGTCCACATCCAGATACTACAAAAAGAGTGTTTCAAACCTGCTCTATGAAAGGGACTGTTCAACACTGTGACTTCAATTGAAACATCCCAATGAAGCTTCTGAGAATGCTTCTGTCTAGAGTTTATATGAAGACAATCCCGTTTCCAAAGAAATCCTCAAAGCTATCCAAATCTCCTCTTGCAGATTTTATAAAAAGAGTGTTTCAAAACTGCTCTATCAAAAGAAAGCTTCAACACTGTTAGTTGAGGGCGCACATAACAAATAACATTCTGAGAATGCTTCTGTCTAGTTTTCAGGGGAAGATATTTCCTTTTTCACCATAGGCTTGAAAGCACTCCAAATGTCCACATCCAGATACTACAAAAAGAGTGTTTCAAACCTGCTCTATGAAAGGGAATGTTCAACTCTGTGACTTGAATGCAAACATCACAAAGAAGTTTCTGGGAATGCTGCTGTCTGCTTTTTATATGTAATCCCGTTTCCAACGAAATCCTCAAAGCTAGACAAATATCCACTTCCAGATTCCACAAAAAGAGTGTTTCAAAACTGCTCTCTCAAAAGAAAGGTTCAACTCTGTTAGCTGAGTAGATACATCATGAAAAAGTTTCTGACATTGCTTCTATCTAGCTTTTATTGGAAGATATTTCCTTTATCACCGTATTCCTGAGATCTCTCCAAATGTCCACTTCCAGATACTACAAAAAGAGTGTTTCAAACCTGCTCTATGAAAGGGACTGTTCAACACTGTGACTTCAATTGAAACATCCCAAAGAAGCTTCTGAGAATGCTTCTTTCTAGAGTTTATATGAAGACAATCCCGTTTCCAACGAAATCCTCAAAGCTATCCAAATATTCTCTTGCAGATATTACAAAAAGAGTGTTTCAAAACTGCTCTATCAAAATAAAGCTTCAACACTGTTAGTTGAGGGCGCACATCACAAATAAGTTTCTGAGAATGCTGCTGTCTGCTTTTTATATGTAATCCCGTTTCCAACGAAATCCTCAAAGCTAGAAAAATATCCACATGCAGATTCCACAAAAAGAGTGTTTCAAAACTGCTCTATCAAAAGAAAGCTTCAACATTGTTAGTTGAGGGCGCACATCACAAATAAGATTCTGAGAATGCTTCTGTCTAGTTTTCAGGGGAAGATATTTCCTTTTAAACCATAGGCCTGAAAGCGCTCCAAATGTCCACATCCAGATACTACAAAAAGAGTGTTTCAAACCTGCTCTATGAAAGGGACTGTTCAACACTGTGACTTCAATTGAAACATCCCAATGACGCTTCTGAGAATGCTTCTGTCTAGAGTTTATATGAAGACAATCCCGTTTCCAACGAAATCCTTAAAGCTATCCAAATATCCTCTTGCAGATATTACAAAAAGAGTGTTTCAAAACTGCTCTATCAAAAGAAAGGTTCAACACTGTTAGTTGAGGGCGCACATCACAAATAAGTTTCTGAGAATGCTTCTGTCTAGTTTTCAGGGGAAGATATTTCCTTTTTCACCATAGGCCTGAAAGCTGCTCCAAATGTCCACATCCAGATACTACAAAAAGAGTGTTTCAAACCTGCTCTATGAAAGGGAATGTTCAACTCTGTGACTTGAATGCAAACATCACAAAGAAGTTACTGGGAATGCTTCTGTCTAGAGTTTATATGAAGACAATCCCGTTTCCAACGAAATCCTCAAAGCTAGACAAATATCCACTTGCAGATTCCACAAAAAGAGTGTTTCAAAACTGCTCTCTCAAAGGAAAGGTTCAACTCTGTTAGCTGAGTAGATACATCATGAAAAAGTTTCTGACATTGCTTCTATCTAGCTTTTATTGGAAGATATTTCCTTTTTCACCGCAGTCCTGAGAGCGTTCCAAATGTCCACTTCAAGATACTACAAAAAGAGTGTTTCAAACCTGCTCTATGAAAGGGACTGTTCAACACTGTGACTTCAATTGAAACATCCCAATGAAGCTTCTGAGAATGCTTCTGTCTAGATTCTATATGAAGACAATCCCGTTTCCAACGAAATCCTCAAAGCTATCCAAATATCCTCTTGCAGATTTTACAAAAAGAGTGTTTCAAAACTGCTCTATCAAAAGAAAAGTTCCACACTGTTAGTTGAGGGCGCACATCACAAATAAGTTTGCTGAGAATGCTGCTGTCTGCTTTTTATATGTAATCCCGTTTCCAACGAAATCCTCAAAGCTAGACAAATATCCACTTGCAGATTCCACAAAAAGAGTGTTTCAAAACTGCTCTATCAAAAGAATGCTTCAACACTGTTAGTTGAGGGCGCACATCACAAATAAGTTTCTGAGAATGCTTCTGTCTAGATTTCAGGAGAAGATATTTCCTTTTTCACCATAGGCCTGAAAGCGCTCATAAATGTCCACATCCAGATACTACAAAAAGAGTGTTTCAAACCTGCTCTATGAAAGGGACTGTTCAACACTGTGACTTCAATTGAAACATCCCAATGAAGCTTCTGAGAATGCTTCTGCCTAGAGTTTATATGAAGACAATCCCGTTTCCAACGAAATCCTCAAAGCTATCCAAATATCCTCTTGCAGATATTACAAAAAGAGTGTTTCAAAACTGCTCTATCAAAAGAAAGCTTCAACACTGTTAGTTGAGGGCGCACATCACAAATAAGTTTCTGAGAATGCTTCTGTCTAGTTTTCAGGAGAAGATATTTCCTTTTTCACCATAGGCCTGAAAGCGCTCCAAATGTCCACATCCAGATACTATAAAAAGAGTGTTTCAAACCTGCTCTCTGAAAGGGAATGTTCAACTCTGTGACTTGAATGAAAACATCACAAAGAAGTTAGTGGGAATGCTGCTGTCTGCTTTTTATATGTAATCCCGTTTCCAACGAAATCCTCAAAGCTAGACAAATATCCACTTGCAGATTCCACAAAAAGAGTGCTTCAAAACTGCTCTCTCAAAAGAAAGGTTCAACTCTGTTAGCTGAGTAGATACATCATGAAAAAGTTTCTGACTTTGCTTCTCTCTAGCTTTTATTGGAAGATACTTCCTTTTTCACCGCAGTCCTGAGAGCGATCCAAATGTCCACTTCCAGATACTACAAAAAGAGTGTTTCAAACCTGCTCTATGAAAGGGACTCTTCAACACTGTGACTTCAATTGAAACATCCCAATGAAGCTTCTGAGAATGTTTCTGTCTAGTTTTCAGGGGAAGATATTTCCTTTTTCACCATAGGCCTGAAAGCGCTCCAAATGTCCACATACTGATACTACAAAAAGAGTGTTTCAAACCTGCTCTATGAAAGGGAATGTTCAACTCTGTGACTTGAATGCAAACATCACAAACAAGTTTCTGGGAATGCTGCTGTCTGCTTTTTATATGTAATCCCGTTTCCAACGAAATCCTCAAAGCTAGACAAATATCCACTTGCAGATTCCACAAAAAGAGTGTTTCAAAACTGCTCTATCAAAAGAAAGCTTCAACACTGTTAGTTGAGGGCGCACATCACAAATAAGTTTCTGAGAATGCTTCTGTCTAGTTTTCAGGGGAAGATATTTCCTTTTAAACCATAGGCCTGAAAGCGCTCCAAATGTCCACATCCAGATACTACAAAAAGAGTGTTTCAAACCTGCTCTATGAAAGGGACTGTTCAACACTGTGACTTCAATTGAAACATCCCAATGACGCTTCTGAGAATGTTTCTGTCTAGAGTTTATATGAAGACAATCCCGTTTCCAAAGAAATCCTCAAAGCTATCCAAATATCCTCTTGCAGATTTTACAAAAAGAGAGTTTGAAAACTGCTCTATCAA
The DNA here is from genome assembly GCF_000001405.40 of Homo sapiens. Lineage (NCBI taxonomy): Eukaryota > Metazoa > Chordata > Mammalia > Primates > Hominidae > Homo > Homo sapiens. The sequence goes on along the minus strand of NC_000002.12, from coordinate 93,947,680 downwards.
AAGAAAGCTTCAACACTGTTAGTTGAGGGCGCACATCACAAATAAGATTCTGAGAATGCTTCTGTCTAGTTTTCAGGGGAAGATATTTCCTTTTTCACCATAGGCCTGAAAGCGCTCCAAATGTCCACATCCAGATACTACAAAAAGAGTGTTTCAAACCTGCTCTATGAAAGGGAATGTTCAACTCTGTGACTTGAATGCAAACATCACAAAGAAGTTTCTGGGAATGCTGCTGTCTGCTTTTTATATGTAATCCCGTTTCCAACGAATTCCTCAAAGCTAGACAAATATCCAGTTGCAGATTACACAAAAAGAGTGTTTCAAAACTGCTCTCTCAAAAGAAAGGTTCAACTCTGTTAGCTGAGTAGATACATCATGAAAAAGTTTCTGACATTGCTTCTATCTAGCTTTTATTGGAAGATATTTCCTTTATCACCGTATTCCTGAGATCTCTCCAAATGTCCACTTCCAGATACTACAAAAACAGTGTTTCAAACCTGCTCTATGAAAGGGACTGTTCAACACTGTGACTTCAATTGAAACATCCTAATGAAGCTTCTGAGAATGCTGCTGTCTGCTTTGTATAATTAATCCCGTTTCCAACGAAATCCTCAAAGCTATCCAAATATCCTCTTGCAGATATTACAAAAAGAGTGTTTCAAAACTGCTCTATCAAAAGAAAGCTTCAACACTGTTAGTTGAGGGCGCACATCACAAATAAGTTTCTGAGAATGCTGCTGTCTGCTTTTTATATGTAATCCCGTTTCCAACGAAATCCTCAAAGCTAGACAAATATCCACTTGCAGATTCCACAAAAAGAGTTTTTCAAAACTGCTCTATCAAAAGAATGCTTCAACACTGTTAGTTGAGGGCGCACATCACAAATAAGTTTCTGAGAATGCTTCTGTCTAGTTTTCAGGGGAAGATATTTCCTTTTAAACCATAGGCCTGAAAGCGCTCCAAATGTCCACATCCAGATACTACAAAAAGAGTGTTTGAAACCTGCTCTATGAAAGGGACTGTTCAACACTGTGACTTCAATTGAAACATCCCAATGAAGCTTCTGAGAATGCTTCTGTCTAGAGTTTATATGAAGACAATCCCGTTTCCAACGAAATCCTCAAAGCTATCAAAATATCCTCCTGCAGATTTTACGAAAAGAGTGTTTCAAAACTGCTCTATCAAAAGAAAGCTTCAACACTGTTAGTTGACGGCGCACATCACAAATAAGATTCTGAGAATGCTTCTGTCTAGTTTTCAGGGGAAGATATTTCCTTTTTCACCATAGGCCTGAAAGCGCTCCAAATGTCCACATCCAGATACTAGAAAAAGAGTGTTTCAAACCTGCTCTATGAAAGGGCATGTTCAACTCTGTGACTTGAATGCAAACATCACAAAGAAGTTACTGGGAATGCTGCTGTCTGCTTTTTATATGTAATCCCGTTTCCAACGAAATCCTCAAAGCTAGACAAATATCCACTTCCAGATTCCACAAAAAGAGTGTTTCAAAACTGCTCTCTCAAAAGAAAGGTTCAACTCTGTTAGCTGAGTAGATACATCATGAAAAAGTTTCTGACATTGCTTCTATCTAGCTTTTATTGGAAAATATTTCCTTTTTCACCATAGGCCTGAAAGCGCTCCAAATGTCCACATCCAGATACTACAAAAAAAGTGTTTCAAACCTGCTCTATGAAAGGGAATGTTCAACTCTGTGACTTGAATGCAAACATCACAAAGAAGTTACTGGGAATGCTGCTGTCTGCTTTTTATATGTAATCCCGTTTCCAAAGAAATCCTCAAAGCTAGACAAATATCCACTTGCAGACTCCACAAAAAGAGTGTTTCAAAACTGCTCTCTCAAAAGAAAGGTTCAACTCTTTTAGCTGAGTAGATACATCATGAAAAAGTTTCTCACATTGCTTCTATCAAGCTTTTATTGGAAGATATTTCCTTTTTCACCGTAGTCCTGAGAGCGCTCCAAATGTCCACTTCCAGATGCTACAAAAAGAGTGTTTCAAACCTGCTCTATGAAAGGGACTGTTCAACACTGTGACTTCAATTGAAACATCCCAATGAAGCTTCTCAGAATGCTGCTGTCTGCTTTGTATAATTAATCCCGTTTCCAACGAAATCCTCAAAGCTATCCAAATATCCTCTTGCAGATATTACAAAAAGAGTGTTTCAAAACTGCTCTATCAAAAGAAAGCTTCAACACTGTTAGTTGAGGGCGCACATCACAAATAAGTTTCTGAGAATGCTGCTGTCTGCTTTTTATATGTAATCCCGTTTCCAACGAAATCCTCAAAGCTAGACAAATATCCACTTGCAGATTCCACAAAAAGAGTGTTTCAAAACTGCTCTATCAAAAGAAAGCTTCAACACTGTTAGTTGAGGGCGCACATCACAAATAAGTTTCTGAGAATGCTTCTGTCTAGTTTTCAGAGGAAGATATTTCCTTTTTCACCATAGGCCTGAAAGCGCTCCAAATGTCCACATCCAGATACTACAAAAAGAGTGTTTCAAACCTGCTCTATGAAAGGGACTGTTCAACACTGTGACTTCAATTGAAACATCCCAATGAGGCTTCTGTGAATGCTTCTGTCTAGAGTTTATATGAAGACAATCCTGTTTCCAACGAAATCCTCAAAGCTATCCAAATATCCTCTTGCAGATTTTACAAAAAGAGTGTTTCAAAACTGCTCTATCAAAATAAAGCTTCAACACTGTTAGTTGAGGGCGCACATCACAAATAAGATTCTGAGAATGCTTCTGTCTAGTTTTCAGGAGAAGATATTTCCTTTTTCACCATAGGCCTGAAAGCGCTCCAAATGTCCACATCGAGATACTACAAAAAGAGTGTTTCAAACCTGCTCTATGAAAGGGAATGTTCAACTCTGTGACTTGAATGCAAACATCACAAAGAAGATTCTGGGAATGCTGCTGTCTGCTTTTTATATGTAATCCCGTTTCCAACGAAATCCTCAAAGCTAGACAAATATCCACTTGCAGATTCCACAAAAAGAGTGTTTCAAAACTGCTCTCTCAAAAGAAAGGTTCAACGCTGTTAGCTGAGTAGATACATCATGAAAAAGTTTCTGACATTGCTTCTATCTAGCTTTTATTGGAAGATATTTCCTTTATCACCGTATTCCTGAGATCTCTCCAAACGTCCACTTCCAGATACTACAAAAAGAGTGTTTCAAACCTGCTCTATGAAAGGGACTGTTCAACACTGTGACTTCAATTGAAACATCCCAATGAAGCTTCTGAGAATGCTTATGTCTAGAGTTTATATGAAGACAATCCCGTTTCCAACGAAATCCTGAAAGCTATCCAAATATCCTCTTGCAGATATTACAAAAAGAGTGTTTCAAAACTGCTCTATCAAAAGAAAGCTTCAACACTGTTAGTTGAGGGCGCCCATCACAAATAAGTTTCGGAGAATGCTTAGCTGTCTGCTTTTTATATGTAATCCCGTTTCCAACGAAATCCTCAAAACTAGACAAATATCCACTTGCAGATTCCACAAAAAGAGTGTTTCAAAACTGCTCTATCAAAAGAAAGCTTCAACACTGTTAGTTGAGGGTGCACATCACAAATAAGATTCTGAGAATGCTTCTGTCTAGTTTTCAGGGGAAGATATTTCCTTTTTCACCATAGGCCTGAAAGCGCTCCAAATGTCCACATCCAGATACTACAAAAAGAGTGTTTCAAACCTGCTCTATGAAAGGGACTGTTCAACACTGTGACTTCAATTGAAACATCCCAATGAAGCTTCTGAGAATGCTTTCTGTCTAGAGTTTATATGAAGACAATCCCGTTTCCAACGAAATCCTCAAAGCTATCCAAATATCCTCTTGCAGATATTACAAAAAGAGTGTTTCAAAACTGCTCTATCAAAAGAAAGCTTCAACACTGTTAGTTGAGGGCGCACATCACAAATAAGTTTCTGAGAATGCTTCTGTCTAGTTTTCAGGGGAAGATATTTCCTTTTTCACCATAGGCCTGAAAGCGCTCCAAATGTCCACATCCAGATACTACAAAAAGAGTGTTTCCAACCTGCTCTATGAAAGGGAATGTTCAACTCTGTGACTTGAATGCAAACATCACAAAGAAGTTTCTGGGAATGCTGCTGTCTGCTTTTTATATGTAATCCCGTTTCCAACGCAATCCTCAAAGCTAGACAAATATCCACTTGCAGATTCCACCAAAAGAGTGTTTCAAAACTGCTCTCTCAAAAGAAAGGTTCAACTCTGTTAGCTCAGTAGATAGATCATTAAAAAGTTTCTGACTTTGCTTCTATCTAGCTTTTATTGGAAGATATTTCCTTTTTCACCGTAGTCCTGAGAACGCTCCAAATCTCCACTTCCAGATACTACAAAAAGAGTTGTTCAAACCTGCTCTATGAAAGGGACTGTTCAACACTGTGACTTCAATTGAAACATCCCAATGAAGCTTCTGAGAATGCTTCTTTCTAGAGTTTATATGAAGACAATCCCGTTTCCAACGAAATCCTCAAAGCTATCCAAATATCCTCTTGCAGATTTTACAAAAAGAGTGTTTCAAAACTGCTCTATCAAAAGAAAGCTTCAACACTGTTAGTTGAGGGGGCACATCACAAATAAGATTCTGAGAATGCTTCTGTCTAGTTTTCAGGGGAAGATATTTCCTTTTTCACCATAGGCCTGAAAGCGCTCCAAATGTCCACATCCAGATACTACAAAAAGAGTGTTTCAAAGCTGCTCTATGAAAGGGAATGTTCAACTCTGTGACTTGAATGCAAACATCACAAAGAAGTTTCTGGGAATGCTGCTGTCTGCTTTTTATATGTAATCCCGTTTCCAACGAAATCCTCAATGCTAGACAAATATCCACTTGCAGATTCCACAAAAAGAGTGTTTCAAAACTGCTCTCTCAAAAGAAAGGTTCAACTCTGTTAGCTGAGTAGATACATCATGAAAAAGTTTCTGACATTGCTTCTATCTAGCTTTTATTGGAAGATATTTCCTTTTTCACCGCAGTCCTGAGAGCGCTCCAAATGTCCACTTCCAGATACTACAAAAAGAGTGTTTCAAACCTGCTCTATGAAAGGGACTGTTCAACACTGTGACTTCAATTGAAACATCCCAATGAAGCTTCTGAGAATGCTTCTTTCTAGAGTTTATATGAAGACAATCCCGTTTCCAACGAAATCCTCAAAGCTATCCAAATATTCTCTTGCAGATATTACAAAAAGAGTGTTTCAAAACTGCTCTATCAAAATAAAGCTTCAACACTGTTAGTTGAGGGCGCACATCACAAATAAGTTTCTGAGAATGCTGCTGTCTGCTTTTTATATGTAATCCCGTTTCCAACGAAATCCTCAAAGCTAGACAAATATCCACTTGCAGATTCCACAAAAAGAGTGTTTCAAAACTGCTCTATCAAAAGAATGCTTCAACACTGTTAGTTGAGGGCGCACATCACAAATAAGTTTCTGAGAATGCTTCTGTCTAGTTTTCAGGGGAAGATACTTCCTTTTTCACCTTAGGCCTGAAAGCGCTGCAAATGTCCACATCCAGATACTACAAAAAGAGTGTTTCAAACCTGCTCTATGAAAGGGACTGTTCAACACTGTGACTTCAATTGAAACATCCCAATGAAGCTTCTGAGAATGCTTCTGTCTAGAGTTTATATGAAGACAATCCCGTTTCCAACGAAATCCTCAAAGCTATCCAAATATCCTCTTGCAGATTTTACAAAAAGAGTGTTTCAAAACTGCTCTATCAAAAGAAAGCTTCAACACTGTTAGTTGAGGGCGCACATCACAAATAAGATTCTGAGAATGCTTCTGTCTAGTTTTCAGGGGAAGATATTTCCTTTTTCACCATAGGGCTGAAAGCGCTCCAAATGTCCACATCCAGATACTACAAAAAGAGTGTTTCAAACCTGCTCTCTGAAAGGGAATGTTCAACTCTGTGACTTGAATGCAAACATCACAAAGAAGTTTCTGGGAATGCTGCTGTCTGCTTTTTATATGTAATCCCGTTTCCAACGAAATCCTCAAAGCTAGACAAATATCCACTTGCAGATTCCACAAAAAGAGTGTTTCAATACTGCTCTCTCAAAAGAAAGGTTCAACTCCGTTAGCTGAGTAGATACATCATGAAAAAGTTTCTGACATTGCTTCTATCTAGCTTTTATTGGAAGATATTTCCTTTATCACCGTATTCCTGAGATCTCTCCAAATGTCCACTTCCAGATACTACAAAAAGAGTGTTTCAAACCTGCTCTATGAAAGGGACTGTTCAACACTGTGACTTCAATTGAAACATCCCAATGAAGCTTCTGAGAATGCTGCTGTCTGCTTTGTATAATTAATCCCGTTTCCAACGAAATCCTCAAAGCTATCCAAATATCCTCTTGCAGATATTACAAAAAGAGTGTTTCAAAACTGCTCTATCAAAAGAAAGCTTCAACACTGTTAGTTGAGGGCGCACATCACAAATAAGTTTCTGAGAATGCTTCTGTCTAGGTTTTGTATGGACATATTCCCGTTTCCAACGAAATCCTCTAGGCTATCCAAATATCCACTTGCAGATTCTACAAAAAGAGTGTTTCAAAACTGCTCTATCAAAAGAAATGTTCAACACTGTTACTTGAGGGCGCACATCAAAATAAGTTTCTGAGAATGCTTCTGTCTAGTTTTCAGGGGAAGATATTTCCTTTTAAACCATAGGCCTGAAAGCGCTCCAAATGTCCACATCCAGATACTACAAAAAGAGTGTTTCAAACCTGCTCTATGAAAGGGACTGTTCAACACTGTGACTTCAATTGAAATATCCCAATGACGCTTCTGAGAATGCTTCTGTCTAGAGTTTATATGAAGACAATCCCGTTTCCAACGAAATCCTCAAAGCTATCCAAATATCCTCTTGCAGATATTACAAAAAGAGTGTTTCAAAACTGCTCTATCAAAAGAAAGGTTCAACACTGTTAGTTGAGGGCGCACATCACAAATAAGTTTCTGAGAATGCTTCTGTCTAGTTTTCAGGGGAAGATATTTCCTTTTTCACCTTAGGCCTGAAAGCGCTGCAAATGTCCACATACAGATACTACAAAAAGTGTGTTTCAAACCTGCTCTATGAAAGGGAATGTTCAAATACTGTGACTTGAATGCAAACATCACAAAGAAGTTTCTGGGAATGCTGCTGTCTGCTTTTTATATATAATCCCGTTTCCAAAGAAATCCTCAAAGCTAGACAAATATCCACTTGCAGATTCCACAAAAAGAGTGTTTCAAAACGGCTCTCTCAAAAGAAAGGTTCAACTCTGTTAGCTGAGTAGATACATCATGAAAAAGTTTCTGACATTGCTTCTATCTAGCTTTTATTGGAAGATATTTCCTTTTTCACCGTAGTCCTGAGAGCGCTCCAAATGTCCACTTCCAGATACTACAAAAAGAGTGTTTCAAACCTGCTCTATGAAAGGGACTGTTCAACACTGTGACTTCAATTGAAACATCCCAATGAAGCTTCTGAGAATGCTGCTGTCTGCTTTGTATAATTAATCCCGTTTCCAACGAAATCCTCAAAGCTATCCAAATATCCTCTTGCAGATATTACAAAAAGAGTGTTTCAAAACTGCTCTATCAAAAGAAAGCTTCAACACTGTTAGTTGAGGGCGCACATCACAAATAAGTTTCTGAGAATGCTGCTGTCTGCTTTTTATATGTAATCCCGATAACAACGAAATCCTCAAAGCTAGACAAATATCCACTTGCAGATTCCACAAAAAGAGTGTTTCAAAACTGCTCTATCAAAAGAATGCTTCAACACTGTTAGTTGAGGGCGCACATCACAAATAAGTTTCTGAGAATGCTTCTGTCTAGTTTTCAGGGGAAGATATTTCCTTTTAAACCATAGGCCTGAAAGCGCTCCAAATGTCCACATCCAGATACTACAAAAAGAGTGTTTCAAACCTGCTCTATGAAAGGGACTGTTCAACACTGTGACTTCAATTGAAACATCCCAATGAAGCTTCTGAGAATGCTTCTGTCTAGAGTTTATATGAAGATAATCCCGTTTCCAACGAAATCCTCAAAGCTAGACAAATATCCACTTGCAGATTCCACAAAAAGAGTGTTTCAAAACTGCTCTCTCAAAGGAAAGGTTCAACTCTGTTAGCTGAGTAGATACATCATGAAAAAGTTTCTGACATTGCTTCTATGTAGCTTTCATTGGAAGATATTTCCTTTATCACCGTATTCCTGAGATCTCTCCAAATGTCCACTTCCAGATACTACAAAAAGAGTGTTTCAAACCTGCTCTATGAAAGGGACTGTTCAACACTGTGACTTCAATTGAAACATCCCAATGAAGCTTCTCAGAATGCTTCTTTCTAGAGTTTATATGAAGACAATCCCGTTTCCAACGAAATCCTCAAAGCTATCCAAATATTCTCTTGCAGATATTACAAAAAGAGTGTTTCAAAACTGCTCTATCAAAATAAAGCTTCAACACTGTTAGTTGAGGGCGCACATCACAAATAAGTTTCTGAGAATGCTGCTGTCTGCTTTTTATATGTAATCCCGTTTCCAACGAAATCCTCAAAGCTAGACAAATATCCACTTGCAGATTCCACAAAAAGAGTGTTTCAAAACTGCTCTATCAAAAGAATGCTTCAACACTGTTAGTTGAGGGCGCACATCACAAATAAGTTTCTGAGAATGCTTCTGTCTAGTTTTCAGGGGAAGATATTTCCTTTTAAACTATAGGCCTGCAAAAGCTCCAAATGTCCACATCCAGATACTACAAAAAGAGTGTTTCAAACCTGCTCTATGAAAGGGACTGTTCAACACTGTGACTTCAATTGAAACATCCCAATGAAGCTTCTGAGAATTCTTCTGTCTAGAGTTTATATGAAGACAATCCCGTTTCCAACGAAATCCTGAAAGCTATCAAAATATCCTCTTGCAGATTTTACGAAAAGAGTGTTTCAAAACTGCTCTATCAAAAGAAAGCTTCAACACTGTTAGTTGAGGGCGCACATCAGAAATAAGATTCTGAGAATGCTTCTGTCTAGTTTTCAGGGGAAGATATTTCCTTTTTCACCATAGGCCTGAAAGCGCTGCAAATGTCCACATCCAGATACTACAAAAAGAGTGTTTCAAACCTGCTCTATGAAAGGGAATGTTCAAGTCTGTGACTTGAATGCAAATATCACAAAGAAGTTACTGGGAATGCTGCTGTCTGCTTTTTATATGTAATCCCGTTTCCAACGAAATCCTCAAAGCTAGACAAATATCCACTTGCAGATGCCACAAAAAGAGTGTTTCAAAACTGCTCTGTCAAAAGAAAGGTTCAACTCTGTTAGCTGAGTAGATACATCATGAAAAATTTTCTGACATTGCTTCTATCTAGCTTTTATTGGAAGATATTTCCTTTTTCACCGTAGTCCTGAGAACGCTCCAAATGTCCACTTCCAGATGCTACAAAAAGAGTGTTTCAAACCTGCTCTATGAAAGGGACTGTTCAACACTGTGACTTCAATTGAAACATCCCAATGAAGCTTCTGAGAATTGTACTGCCTAGGGTTAATATGAAGACAATACCGTTTCCAACCAAATCCTCAAAGCTATCCAAATATCCTCTTGCAGATTTTACAAAAAGAATGTTGCAAAACTGCTCTATCAAAAGAAAGCTTCAACACTGTTAGTTGAGGGCGCACATCACAAATAAGTTTCTGAGAATACTTCTGTCTAGTTTTCAGTGGAAGATATTTCCTTTTTCACCATAGGCCTGAAAGCGCTCCAAATGTCCAAATCCAGATACTACAAAAAGAGTGTTTCAAACCTGCTCTATGAAAGGCAATGTTCAACTCTGTGACTTGAATGCAAACATCACAAAGAAGTTTCTGGGAATGCTTCTGTCTAGTTTTCAGGGGAAGATATTTCCTTTCAAACCATAGGCCTGAAAGCGCTCCAAATGTCCACATCCAGATACTACAAAAAGAGTGTTTCAAACCTGCTCTATGAAAGGGACTGTTCAATACTGTGACTTCAATTGAAACATCCCAATGAAGCTTCTGAGAATGCTTCTGTCTAGAGTTTATATGAAGACAATCCCGTTTCCAACGTAATCCTCAAAGCTATCCAAATATCCTCTTGCAGATTTTACGAAAAGAGTGTTTCAAAACTGCTCTATCAAAAGAAAGCTTCAACAGTGTTAGTTGAGGGCGCACATCACAAATAAGATTCTGAGAATGCTTCTGTCTAGTTTTCAGGGGAAGATATTTCCTTTTTCACCATAGGCCTGAAAGCGCTCCAAATGTCCACATCCAGATACTACAAAAAGAGTGTTTCAAACCTGCTCTATGAAAGGGAATGTTAAACTCTGTGACTTGAATGCAAACATCACAAAGAAGTTTCTGGGAATGCAGCTGTCTGCTTTTTATATGTAATCCCGTTTCCAACGAAATCCTCAAAGCTAGACAAATATCCACTTGCAGATTCCACAAAAAGAGTGTTTCAAAACTGCTCTCTCAAAAGAAAGGTTCAACTCTGTTAGCTGAGTAGGTACATCATGAAAAAGTTTCTGACATTGCTTCTATCTAGCTTTTATTGGAAGATATTTCCTTTATCACCGTATTCCTGAGATCTCTCCAAATGTCCACTTCCAGATACTACAAAAAGAGTGTTTCAAACCTGCTCTATGAAAGGGAATGTTCAACTCTGTGACTTGAATGCAAACATCACAAAGAAGTTTCTGGGAATGCTGCTGTCTGCTTTTTATATGTAATCCCGTTTCCAACGAAATCCTCAAAGCTAGACAAATATCCACTTGCAGATTCCACAAAAAGAGTGTTTCAAAACTGCTCTCTCAAAGGAAGGTTCAACTCTGTTAGCTGAGTAGACACATCATGAAAAAGATTCTGACATTGCTTCTATCTAGCTTTATTTGGAAGATATTTCCTTTTTCACCGTAGTCCTGAGAGCGCTCCAAATGTCCACTTCCAGATACTACAAAAAGAGTGTTTCAAACCTGCTCTATGAAAGGGACTGTTCAACACTGTGACTTCAATTGAAACATCCCAATGAAGATTCTGAGAATTCTTCTGTCTAGAGTTTATATGAAGACAATCCCGTTTCCAACGAAATCCTCAAAGCTATCCAAATATCCTCTTGCAGATATTACAAAAAGAGTGTTTCAAAACTGCTCTATCAAAAGAAAGGTTCAACACTGTTAGTTGAGGGCGCACATCACAAATAAGTTTACTGAGAATGCTGCTGTCTGCTTTTTATATGTAATCCCGTTTCCAACGAAATCCTCAAAGCTAGACAAATATCCACTTGCAGATTCCACAAAAAGAGTGTTTCAAAACTGCTCTATCAAAAGAAAGCTTCAACACTGTTAGTTGAGGGCGCACATCACAAATAAGTTTCTGAGAATGCTTCTGTCTAGTTTTCAGGGGAAGATATTTCCTTTTTCACCATAGGCCTGAAAGCGCTCGAAATGTCCACATCCAGATACTACAAAAAGAGTGTTTCAAACCTGCTCTATGAAAGGGACTGTTCAACACTGTGACTTCAATTGAAACATCCCAATGAAGCTTCTGAGAATGCTTCTGTCTAGAGTTTATATGAAGACAATCCCGTTTCCAACGAAATCCTCAAAGATATCCAAATATCCTCTTGCAGATATTATAAAAAGAGTGTTTCAAAAGTGCTCTATCAAAAGAAAGCTTCAACACTGTTAGTTGAGGGCGCACATCACAAATTAGTTTCTGAGAATGCTTCTGTCTAGTTTTCAGGGGAAGATATTTCCGTTTTCACCATAGGCCTGAAAGCGCTCCAAATGTCCACATCCAGATACTACAAAAAGAGTGTTTCAAACCTGCTCTATGAAAGGGAATGTTCAACTCTGTGACTTGAATGCAAACATCACAAAGAAGTTTCTGGGAATGCTGCTGTCTGCTTTTTATATGTAATCACGTTTCCAACGAAATCCTCAAAGCTAGACAAATATCCACTTGCAGATTCCACAAAAAGAGTGTTTCAAAACTGCTCTCTCAAAGGAAAGGTTCAACTCTGTTAGCTGAGTAGATACATCATGAAAAAGTTTCTGACATTGCTTCTATGTAGCTTTTATTGGAAGATATTTCCTTTTTCACCATAGTCCTGAGAGCGCTCCAAATGTCCACTTCCAGATACTACAAAAAGAGTGTTTCAAACCTGTTCTATGAAAGGAACTGTTCAACACTGTGACTTCAATTGAAACATCCCAATGAAGCTTCTGAGAATGCTTCTGTCTAGAGTTTATATGAAGACAATCCCGTTTCCAACGAAATCCTCAAAGCTATCCAAATATCCTCTTGCAGATATTACAAAAAGAGTGTTTCAAAACTGCTCTATCAAAAGAAAGGTTCAACACTGTTAGTTGAGGGCGCACATCACAAATAAGATTCTGAGAATTCTGCTGTCTGCTTTTTATAATTAATCCCGTTTCCAACGAAATCCTCAAAGCTATCCAAATATCCTCTTGCAGATATTACAAAAAGAGTGTTTCAAAACTGCTCTATCAAAAGAAAGCTTCAACACTGTTAGTTGAGGGCGCACATCACAAATAAGATTCTGAGAATGCTTCTATCTAGCTTTTATTGGAAGATAATTCCTTTATCACCGTATTCCTGAGATCTCTCCAAATGTCCAGTTCCAGATACTACAAAAAGAGTGTTTCAAACCTGCTCTATGACAGGGACTGTTCAACACTGTGACTTCAATTGAAACATCCCAATGAAGCTTCTGAGAATGCTTCTGTCTAGAGTTTATATGAAGAAAATCCCGTTTCCAACGAAATCCTCAAATCTATCAAAATATCCTCTTGCAGATTTTACGAAAAGAGTGTTTCAAAACTGCTCTATCAAAAGAAAGCTTCAACACTGTTAGTTGAGGGAGCACATCACAAATAAGATTCTGAGAATGCTTCTGTCTAGTTTTCAGGAGAAGATATTTCCTTTTTCACCATAGGCCTGAAAGCGCTCCAAATGTCCACATCCAGATACTATAAAAAGAGTGTTTCAAACCTGCTCTCTGAAAGGGAATGTTCAACTCTGTGAGTTGAATGCAAACATCACAAACAAGATTCTGGGAATGCTGCTGTCTGCTTTTTAAATGTAATCCGGTTTCCAACGAAATCCTCAAAGCTAGACAAATATCCACTTGCAGATTCCACAAAAAGAGTGTTTCAAAACTGCTCTCTCAAAAGAAAGGTTCAACTCTGTTAGCTGAGTAGATACATCATGAAAAAGTTTCTGACATTGCTTCTATCTAGCTTTTATTGGAAGATATTTCCTTTTTCACCGTAGTCCTGAGAGCGCTCCAAATGTCCACTTCCAGATACTACAAAAAGAGTGTTTCAAACCTGCTCTATGAAAGGGACTGTTCAACACTGTGACTTCAGTTGAAACATCCCAATGAAGCTTCTGAGAATGCTTCTGTCTAGAGTTTATATGAAGACAATCCCGTTTCCAACGAAATCCTCAAAGCTATCCAAATATCCTCTTGCAGATATTACAAAAAGAGTGTTTCAAAACTGCTCTATCAAAAGAAAGGTTCAACACTGTTAGTTGAGGGCGCACATCACAAATAAGTTTACTGAGAATGCTGCTGTCTGCTTTTTATATGTAATCCCGTTTCCAACGAAATCCTCAAAGCTAGACAAATATCCACTTGCAGATTCCACAAAAAGAGTGTTTCAAAACTGCTCTATCAAAAGAATGCTTCAACACTGTTAGTTGAAGGCGCACATCACAAATAAGTTTCTGAGAATGCTTCTGTCTAGTTTTCAGGGGAAGATATTTCCTTTTTCACCATAGGCCTGAAAGCGCTCCAAATGTCCACATCCAGATACTACAAAAAGAGTGTTTCAAACCTGCTCTATGAAAGGGACTGTTCAACACTGTGACTTCAATTGAAACATCCCAATGAAGCTTCTGAGAATGCTTCTGTCTAGAGTTTATATGAAGACAATCCCGTTTCCAATGAAATCCTCAAAGCTATCCAAATATCCTCTTGCAAATTTTACAAAAGGAGTGTTTCAAAACTGCTCTATCAAAAGAAAGCTTCAACACTGTTAGTTGAGGGCGCACATCACAAATAAGATTCTGAGAATGCTTCTGTCTAGTTTTCAGGGGAAGATATTTCCTTTTTCACCATAGGCCTGAAAGCGCTCCAAATGTCCACATCCAGATATTACAAAAAGAGTGTTTCAAACGTGCTCTATGAAAGGGAATGTTCAACTCTGTGACTTGAATGCAAACATCACAAAGAAGATTCTGGGAATGCTGCTGTCTGCTTTTCATATGTAATCCCGTTTCCAACGAAATCCTCAAAGCTAGACAAATATCCACTTGCAGATTCCACAAAAAGAGTGTTTCAAAACTGCTCTCTAAAAGGAAAGGTTCAACTCTGTTAGCTGAGTAGATACATCATGAAAAAGTTTCTGACACTGCTTCTGTGTAGCTTTTATTGGAAGATATTTCCTTTTTCACCATAGTCCTGACAGCGCTCAAAATGTCCACTTCCAGATACTACAAAAAGAGTGTTTCAAACCTGTTCTATGAAAGGAACTGTTCAACACTGTGACTTCAATTGAAACATCCCAATGAAGCTTCTGAGAATGCTGCTGTCTGCTTTGTATAATTAATCCCGTTTCCAACGAAATCCTCAAAGCTATCCAAATATCCTCTTGCAGATATTACAAAAAGAGTGTTTCAAAACTGCTCTATCAAAAGAAAGCTTCAACACTGTTAGTTGAGGGCGCACATCACAAATAAGTTTCTGAGAATGCTGCTGTCTGCTTTTTATATGTAATCCCGTTTCCAACGAAATCCTCAAAGCTAGACAAATATCCACTTGCAGATTCCACAAAAAGAGTGTTTCAAAACTGCTCTATCAAAAGAATGCTTCAACACTGTTAGTTGAGAGCGCACATCACAAATAAGTTTCTGAGAATGCTTCTGTCTAGTTTTCAGGGGAAGATATTTCCTTTTAAACCATAGGCCTGAAAGCGCTCCAAATGTCCACATCCAGATACTACAAAAAGAGTGTTTCAAACCTGCTCTATGAAAGAGACTGTTCAACACTGTAACTTCAATTGAAACATCCCAATGAAGCTTCTGAGAATGCTTCTGTCTAGAGTTTATATGAAGACAATCCCGTTTCCAACGAAATCCTCAAAGCTATCCAAATATCCTCTTGCAGATTTTACAAAAAGAGTGTTTCAAAACTGCTCTATCAAAAGAAAGCTTCAACACTGTTAGTTGAGAGCGCATATCACAAATAAGGTTCTGAGAATGCTTCTGTCTAGTTTTCAGGGGAAGATATTTCCTTTTTCACCATAGGCCTGAAAGCGCTCCAAATGTCCACATCCAGATACTACAAAAACAGTGTTTCAAACCTGCTCTATGAAAGGGAATGTTCAACTCTGTGACTTGAATGCAAACATCACAAAGAAGTTACTGGGAATGCTGCTGTCTGCTTTTTATATGTAATCCCGTTTCCAACGAAATCCTCAAAGCTAGACAAATATCCACTTCCAGATTCCACAAAAAGAGTGTTTCAAAACTGCTCTCTCAAAAGAAACGTTCAACTACTGTTAGCTGAGTAGATACATCATGAAAAAGTTTCTGACATTGCTTCTATCTAGCTTTTATTGGAAGATATTTCCTTTATCACCGTATTCCTGAGATCTCTCCAAATGTCCACTTCCAGATACTACAAAAAGAGTGTTTCAAACCTGCTCTATGAAAGGGACTGTTCAACACTGTGACTTCAATTGAAACATCCCAATGAAGCTTCTGAGAATGCTTCTTTCTAGAGTTTATATGAAGACAATCCCGTTTCCAACGAAATCCTCAAAGCTATCCAAATATTCTCTTGCAGATATTACAAAAAGAGTGTTTCAAAACTGCTCTATCAAAATAAAGCTTCAACACTGTTAGTTGAGGGCGCACATCACAAATAAGTTTCTGAGAATGCTGCTGTCTGCTTTTTATATGTAATCCCGTTTCCAACGAAATCCTCAAAGCTAGAAAAATATCCACTTGCAGATTCCACAAAAAGAGTGTTTCAAAACTGCTCTATCAAAAGAAAGCTTCAACACTGTTAGTTGAGGGCGCACATCACAAATAAGTTTCTGAGAATGCTTCTGTCTAGTTTTCAGGGGAAGATATTTCCTTTTTCACCATAGGCCTGAAAGCGCTCCAAATGTCCACATCCAGATACTACAAAAAGAGTGTTTCAAACCTGCTCTATGAAAGGGACTGTTCAACACTGTGACTTCAATTGAAACATCCCAATGAAGCTTCTGAGAATGCTTCTGCCTAGAGTTTATATGAAGACAATCCCGTTTCCAACGAAATCCTCAAAGCTATCCAAATATCCTCTTGCAGATATTACAAAAAGAGTGTTTCAAAACTGCTCTATCAAAAGAAAGCTTCAACACTGTTAGTTGAGGGCGCACATCACAAATAAGTTTCTGAGAATGCTTCTGTCTAGTTTTCAGGGGAAGATATTTCCTTTTTCACCATAGGCCTGAAAGCGCTCCAAATGTCCACATCCAGATACTACAAAAAGAGTGTTTCAAACCTGCTCTATGAAAGGGAATATTCAACTCTGTGACTTGAATGCAAACATCACAAAGAAGTTACTGGGAATGCTGCTGTCTGCTTTTTATATGTAATCCCGTTTCCAACGAAATCCTCAAAGCTAGACAAATATCCACTTGCAGATTCCACAAAAAGAGTGTTTCAAAACTGCTCTCTCAAAAGAAAGGTTCAACTCTGTTAGCTGAGTAGATACATCATGAAAAAGTTTCTGACATTGCTTCTATCTAGCTTTTATTGGAAGATATTTCCTTTATCACCGTATTCCTGAGATCTCTCCAAATGTCCACTTGCAGATACTACAAAAAGAGTGTTTCAAACCTGCTCTATGAAAGGGACTGTTCAACACTGTGACTGCAATTGAAACATCCCAATGAAGCTTCTGAGAATGCTTCTGTCTAGAGTTTATATGAAGACAATCCCGTTTCCAACGAAATCCTCAAAGCTGTCCAAATATCCTCTTGCAGATTTTACGAAAAGAGTGTTTCAAAACTGCTCTATCAAAAGAAAGCTTCAACACTGTTAGTTGAGGGCGCACATCACAAATAAGATTCTGAGAATGCTGCTGTCTGCTTTTTATATGTAATCCCGTTTCCAACGAAATCCTCAAAGCTAGACAAATATCCACTTGCAGATTCCACAAAAAGAGTGTTTCAAAACTGCTCTATCAAAAGAATGCTTCAACACTGTTAGTTGAGGGCGCACATCACAAATAAGTTTCTGAGAATGCTTCTGTCTAGTTTTCAGGGGAAGATATTTCCTTTTTCACCATAGGCCTGAAAGCGCTCGAAATGTCCACATCCAGATACTACAAAAAGAGTGTTTCAAACCTGCTCTATGAAAGGGACTGTTCAACACTGTGACTTCAATTGAAACATCCCAATGAAGCTTCTGAGAATGCTACTGTCTAGAGTTTATATGAAGACAATCCCACTTCCACCGAAATCCTCAAAGCAATCCAAATATCCTCTTGCAGATTTTACAAAAAGAGTGTTTCAAACTGCTCTGTCAAAAGAAAGCTTCAACACTGTTAGTTGAGGGTGCACATCACAAATAAGTTTCTGAGAATGCTTCTGTCTAGTTTTCAGGGGAAGATATTTCCTTTTTCACAATAGGCCTGAAAGCGCTCCAAATGTCCACATCCAGATACTACAAAAAGAGTGTTTCAAACCTGCTCTATGAAAGGGAATGTTCAACTCTGTGACTTGAATGCAAACATCACAAAGAAGTTTCTGGGAATGCTTCTGTCTGCCTTTTATATGTAATCCCGTTTCCAACGAAATCCTCAAAGCTAGACAAATATCCACTTGCATATTCCACAAAAAGTGTGTTTCAAAACTGTTCTCTCAAAAGAAAGGTTCAACTCTGTTAGCTGAGTAGATACATCATGAACAATTTTCTGACATTGCTTCTATCTAGCTTTATTTGGAAGATATTTCCTTTTTCACCGTAGTCCTGAGAACGCTCCAAATGTCCACTTCCAGATACTACAAAAAGAGTGTTTCAAACATGCTCTATGAAAGGGACTGTTCAACACTGTGACTTCAATTGAAACATCCCAATGAAGCTTCTGAGAATGCTTCTGTCTAGATTTTATATGAAGACAATCCCGTTTCCAACGAAATCCTCAAATCTATCCAAATATCCTCTTGCAGATTTTACAAAAAGAGTGTTTCAAAACTGCTCTACCAAAAGAAAGGTTCAACACTGTTAGTTGAGGGCGCACATCACAAATAAGTTTCTGAGAATGCTTCTGTCTAGTGTTCAGGGGAAGATATTTCCTTTTTCACCATAGGCCTGAAAGCGCTCCAAATGTCCACATCCAGATACTACAAAAAGAGTGTTTCAAACCTGCTCTATGAAAGGGAATGTTCAACTCTGTGACTTGAATACAAACATCACAAAGAAGTTTCTGGGAATGCTGCTGTCTGCTTTTTATATGTAATCCCGATTCCAACGAAATCCTCAAAGATAGACAAATATCCACTTGCAGATTCCACAAAAAGAGTGTTTCAAAACTGCTCTCTCAAAAGAAAGGTTCAACTCTGTTAGCTGAGTAGATACATCATGAAAAAGTTTCTGACATTGCTTCTATCTAGCTTTTATTGGAAGATATTTCCTTTTTCACCGTATTCCTGAGGACTCTCCAAATGTCCACTTCCAGATACTACAAAAAGAGTGTTTCAAACCTGCTCTAAGAAAGGGACTGTTCAACACTCTGACTTCAATTGAAACATCCCAATGAAGCTTCTGAGAATGCTGCTGTCTGCTTTGTATAATTAATCCCGTTTCCAACGAAATCCTCAAAGCTATCCAAATATCCTCTTGCAGATATTACAAAAAGAGTGTTTCAAAACTGCTCTATCAAAAGAAAGCTTCAACACTGTTAGTTGAGGGCGCACATCACAAATAAGTTTCTGAGAATGCTGCTGTCTGCTTTTTATATGTAATCCCGTTTCCAACGAAATCCTCAAAGCTAGACAAATATCCACTTGCAGATTCCACAAAAAGAGTGTTTCAAAACTGCTCTATCAAAAGAAAGCTTCAACACTGTTAGTTGAGGGCGCACATCACAAATAAGTTTCTGAGAATGCTTCTGTCTAGTTTTCAGGGGAAGATATTTCCTTTTTCACCATAGGCCTGAAAGCGCTCCAAATGTCCACATCCAGATACTACAAAAAGAGTGTTTCAAACCTGCTCTATGAAAGGGACTGTTCAACACTGTGACTTCAATTGAAACATCCCAATGAAGCTTCTGAGAATGCTTTCTGTCTAGAGTTTATATGAAGACAATCCCGTTTCCACCGAAATCCTCAAAGCTATCCAAATATCCTCTTGCAGATTTTACAAAAAGAGTGTTTCAAAACTGCTCTATCAAAAGAAAGCTTCAACACTGTTAGTTGAGGGCGCACATCACAAATAAGTTTCTGAGAATGCTTCTGTCTAGTTTTCAGGGGAAGATATTTCCTTTTTCACCATAGGCCTGAAAGCGCTCCAAATGTCCACATCCAGATACTACAAAAAGAGTGTTTCAAACCTGCTCTATGAAAGGGAATGTTCAAGTCTGTGACTTGAATGCAAATATCACAAAGTAGTTTCTGGGAATGCTGCTGTCTGCTTTTTATATATAATCCCGTTTCCAGTGAAATCCTTAAAGCTAGACAAATATCCATTTGCAGATTCCACAAAAAGAGTGTTTCAAAACTGCTCTCTCAAAAGAAAGGTTCAACTCTGTTAGCTGAGTAGATACATGATGAAAATGTTTCTGACATTGCTTCTATCTAGCTTTTATTGGAAGATATTTCCTTTTTCACCGCAGTCCTGAGAGCGCTCCAAATGTCCACTTCCAGATACTACAAAAAGAGTGTTTCAAACCTGCTCTATGAAAGGGACTGTTCAACACTGTGACTTCAACTGAAACATCCCAATGAAGCTTCTGAGAATGCTTATGTCTAGAGTTTATATGAAGACAATCCCGTTTCCAACGAAATCCTGAAAGCTATCCAAATATCCTCTTGCAGATATTACAAAAAGAGTGTTTCAAAACTGCTCTATCAAAAGAAAGCTTCAACACTGTTAGTTGAGGGCGCCCATCACAAATAAGTTTCGGAGAATGCTTAGCTGTCTGCTTTTTATATGTAATCCCGTTTCCAACGAAATCCTCAAAGCTAGACAAATATCCACTTGCAGATTCCACAAAAAGAGTGTTTCAATACTGCTCTATCAAAAGAATGCTTCAACACTGTTAGTTGAGGGCGCACATCACAAATAAGTTTCTGAGAATGCTTCTGTCTAGTTTTCAGGGGAAGATATTTCCTTTTTCACCATAGGCCTGAAAGCGCTCCAAATGTCCACATCCAGATACTACAAAAAGAGTGTTTCAAACCTGCTCTATGAAAGGGACTGTTCAACACTGTGACTTCAATTGAAACATCCCAATGAAGCTTCTGAGAATGCTTCTGTGTAGAGTTTATATGAAGACAATCCCGTTTCCAACGAAATCCTCAAAGCTATCCAAATATCCTCTTGCAGATTTTACAAAAAGAGTGTTTCAAAACTGCTCTATCAAAAGAAAGCTTCAACACTGTTAGTTGAGGGCGCACATCACAAATAAGATTCTGAGAATTCTTCTGTCTAGTTTTCAGGGGAAGATATTTCCTTTTTCACGTTAGGCCTGAAAGCGCTGCAAATGTCCACATCCAGATACTACAAAAAGAGTGTTTCAAACCTGCTCTATGAAAGGGAATGTTCAACTCTGTGACTTGAATGCAAACATCACAAAGAAGTTTCTGGGAATGCTGCTGTCTGCTTTTTATATGTAATCCCGTTTCCAACGAAATCCTCAAAGCCAGACAAATATCCACTTGCAGATTCCACAAAAAGAGTGTTTCAAAACTGCTCTTTCAAAGGAAGGTTCAACTCTGTTAGCTGAGTAGATACATCATGAAAAAGTTTCTGACATTGCTTCTATCTAGCTTTTATTGGAAGATATTTCCTTTATCACCGTATTCCTGAGATCTCTCCAAATGTCCACTTCCAGATACTACAAAAAGAGTGTTTCAAACCTGCTCTATGAAAGGGACTGTTCAACACTGTGACTTCAATTGAAACATCCCAATGAAGCTTCTGAGAATGCTTCTGTCTAGAGTTTATATGAAGACAATCCCGTTTCCAACGAAATCCTCAAAGCTATCCAAATATCCTCTTGCAGATATTACAAAAAGAGTGTTTCAAAACTGCTCTATCAAAAGAAAGGTTCAACACTGTTAGTTGAGGGCGCACATCACAAATAAGTTTACTGAGAATGCTGCTGTCTGCTTTTTATATGTAATCCCGTTTCCAACGAAATCCTCAAAGCTAGACAAATATCCACTTGCAGATTCCACAAAAAGAGTGTTTCAAAACTGCTCTATCAAAAGAATGCTTCAACACTGTTAGTTGAGGGCGCACATAACAAATAAGTTTCTGAGAATGCTTTCTGTCTAGTTTTCAGGGGAAGATATTTCCTTTTTCACCATAGGCCTGAAAGCGCTCCAAATGTCCACATCCAGATACTACAAAAAGAGTGTTTCAAACCTGCTCTATGAAAGGGACTGTTCAACACTGTGACTTCAATTGAAACATCCCAATGAAGCTTCTGAGAATGCTTCTGTCTAGAGTTTATATGAAGACAATCCCGTTTCCAACGAAATCCTCAAAGCTATCCAAATATCCTCTTGCAGATTTTACAAAAAGAGTGTTTCAAAACTGCTCTATCAAAAGAAAGCTTCAACTCTGTTAGTTGAGGGCGCACATCACAAATAAGATTCTGAGAATGCTTCTGTCTAGTTTTCAGGGGAAGATATTTCCTTTTTCACCATAGGCCTGAAAGCGCTCCAAATGTCCACATCCAGATACTACAAAAAGAGTGTTTCAAACCTGCCCTATGAAAGGGAATGTTCAACTCTGTGACTTTAATGCAAACATCACAAAGAAGATTCTGGGAATGCTGCTGTCTGCTTTTTATATGTAATCCCGTTTCCAACGAAATCCTCAAAGCTAGACAAATATCCACTTCCAGATTCCACAAAAAGAGTGTTTCAAAACTGCTCTCTCAAAAGAAAGGTTCAACTCTGTTAGCTGAGTAGATACATCATGAAAAAGTTTCTGACATTGCTTCTATCTAGCTTTTATTGGAAGATATTTCCTTTTTCACCATAGTCCTGAGAACGCTCCAAATGTCCACTTCCAGATGCTACAAAAACAGTGTTTCAAACCTGCTCTATGAAAGGGACTGTTCAACACTGTGACTTAAATTGAAACATCCCAATGAAGCTTCTGAGAATGCTACTGTCTAGGGTTAATATGAAGACAATCCCGTTTCCAACGAAATCCTCAAAGCTATCCAAATATCCTCTTGCAGATTTTACAAAAAGAATGTTTCAAAACTGCTCTATCAAAAGAAAGCTTCAACACTGTTAGTTGAGGGCGCACATCACAGATAAGTTTCTGAGACTACTGCTGTCTGCTTTTTATATGTAATCCCGTTTCCAACGAAATCCTCAAAGCTAGACAAATATCCACTTGCAGATTCCACAAAAAGAGTGTTTCAAAACTGCTCTATCAAAAGAATGCTACAACACTGTTAGTTGAGGGCGCACATCACAAATAAGTTTCTGAGAATGCTTCTGTCTAGTTTTCAGGGGAAGATATTTCCTTTTTCACCATAGGCCTGAAAGCGCTCCAAATGTCCACATCCAGATACTACAAAAAGAGTGTTTCAAACCTGCTCTATGAAAGGGACTGTTCAACACTGTGACTTCAATTGAAACATCCCAATGACGCTTCTGAGAATGCTTCTGTCTAGAGTTTATATGAAGACAATCCCGTTTCCAACGAAATCCTCAAAGCTATCCAAATATCCTCTTGCAGATTTTACAAAAAGAGTGTTCCAAAACTGCTCCATCAAAAGAAAGCTTCAACACTGTTAGTTGAGGGCGCACATCACAAATAAGATTCTGAGAATGCTTCTGTCTAGTTTTCAGGGGAAGATATTTCCTTTTTCACCTTAGGCCTGAAAGCGCTGCAAATGTCCACATCCAGATACTACAAAAAGAGTGTTTCAAACCTGCTCTATGAAAGGGAGTGTTCAACTCTGTGACTTGAATGCAAACATCACAAAGAAGTTACTGGGAATGCTGCTGTCTGCTTTTTATATGTAATCCCGTTTCCAACGAAATCCTCAAAGCTAGACAAATATCCACTTGCAGATTCCACAAAAAGAGTGTTTCAAAACTGCTCTCTCAAAGGAAGGTTCAACTCTGTTAGCTGAGTAGATACATCATGAAAAAGTTTCTGACATTGCTTCTATCTAGCTTTTATTGGAAGATATTTCCTTTTTCACCGCAGTCCTGAGAGCGCTCCAAATGTCCACTTCCAGATACTACAAAAAGAGTGTTTCAAACCTGCTCTATGAAAGGGACTGTTCAACACTGTGACTTCAATTGAAACATCCCAATGAAGCTTCTGAGAATGCTTCTGTCTAGAGTTTATATGAAGACAATCCCGTTTCCAACGAAATCCTCAAAGCTATCCAAATATCCTCTTGCAGATTTTACAAAAAGAGTGTTTCAAAACTGCTCTATCAAAGGAAAGCTTCAACACTGTTAGTTGAGGGCGCACATCACAAATAAGATTCTGAGAATGCTGCTGTCTGCTTTTTATATGTAATCCCGTTTCCAACGAAATCCTCAAAGCTAGACAAATATCCACATGCAGATTCCACAAAAAGAGTGTTTCAAAACTGCTCTATCAAAAGAAAGCTTCAACACTGTTAGTTGAGGGCGCACATCACAAATAAGTTTCTGAGAATGCTTCTGTCTAGTTTTCAGGGGAAGATATTTCCTTTTTCACCATAGGCCTGAAAGCGCTCCAAATGTCCACATCCAGATACTACAAAAAGAGTGTTTCAAACCTGCTCTATGAAAGGGACTGTTCAACACTGTGACTTCAATTGAAACATCCCAATGAAGCATCTGAGAATGCTTCTGTCTAGAGTTTATATGAAGACAATCCCGTTTCCAACGAAATCCTCAAAGCTATCAAAATATCCTCTTGCAGATTTTACGAAAAGAGTGTTTCAAAACTGCTCTATCAAAAGAAAGCTTCAACACTGTTAGTTGAGGGCGCACATCACAAATAAGATTCTGAGAAAGCTTCTGTCTAGTTTTCAGGGGAAGATATTTCCTTTTTCACCATAGGCCTGAAAGCGCTCCAAATGTCCACATCCAGATACTACAAAAAGAGTGTTTCAAACCTGCTCTATGAAAGGGAATGTTCAACTCTGTGACTTGAATGCAAACATCACAAAGAAGTTACTGGGAATGCTGCTGTCTGCTTTTTATATGTAATCCCGTTTCCAACGAAATCCTCAAAGCTAGACAAATATCCACTTGCAGATTCCACAAAAAGAGTGTTTCAAAACTGCTCTCTCAAAGGAAGGTTCAACTCTGTTAGCTGAGTATATACATCATGAAAAAGTTTCTGACATTGCTTCTATCTAGCTTTTATTTGAAGATATTTCCTTTTTCACCGTAGTCCTGAGAGCGCTCCAAATGTCCACTTGCAGATGCTACAAAAAGAGTGTTTCAAACCTGCTCTATGAAAGGGACTGCTCAACACTGTGACTTCAATTGAAACATCCCAATGAAGCTTCTCAGAATGCTACTGTCTAGAGTTTATATGAAGACAATCCCGTTTCCAACGAAATCCTCAAAGCTATCCAAATATCCTCTTGCAGATTTTACAAAAAGAGTGTTTCAAAACTGCTCTATCAAAAGAAAGCTTCAACACTGTTAGTTGAGGGTGCACATCACAAATAAGATTCTGAGAATGCTGCTGTCTGCTTTTTATATGTAATCCCGTTTCCAACGAAATCCTCAAAGCTAGACAAATATCCACTTGCAGATTCCACAAAAAGAGTTTTTCAAAACTGCCCTATCAAAAGAATGCTTCAACACTGTTAGTTGAGGGCGCACATCACAAATAAGTTTCTGAGAATGCTTCTGTCTAGTTTTCAGGGGAAGATATTTCCTTTTAAACCATAGGCCTGAAAGCGCTCCAAATGTCCACTTCCAGATACTACAAAAAGAGTGTTTCAAACCTGCTCTATGAAAGGGACTGTTCAACACTGTGACTTCAATTGAAACATCCCAATGAAGCTTCTGAGAATGCTTCTGTCTAGAGTTTATATGAAGACAATCCCGTTTTCAACGAAATCCTCAAACCTATCCAAATATCCTCTTGCAGATTTTACAAAAAGAGTGTTTCAAAACTGCTCTATCAAAAGAAAGCTTCAACACTGTTAGTTGAGGGCGCACATCACAAATAAGTTTCTGAGAATGCTTCTATGTAGCTTTTATTGGAAGATATTTCCTTTTTCACCATAGGCCTGAAAGCGCTCCAAATGTCCACATCCAGATACTACAAAAAAAGTGTTTCAAACCTGCTCTATGAAAGGGAATGTTCAACTCTGTGACTTGAATGCAAACATCACAAAGAAGTTACTGGGAATGCTGCTGTCTGCTTTTTATATGTAATCCCGTTTCCAACGAAATCCTCAAAGCTAGACAAATATCCACTTGCAGATTCCACAAAAAGAGTGTTTCAAAACTGCTCTCTCAAAAGAAAGGTTCAACTCTGTTAGCTGAGTAGATACATCATGAAAAAGTTCCTGACATTGCT